>NC_000005.10:177115334-177265780 GCF_000001405.40 Homo sapiens
TCGCTTGAACCTGGGAGGCGGAGGTTGCAGTGAGCCAAGATGGCGCCACTGCACTCCAGCCTGGGCGATGGAGTGACTTTCTTAAAAAAGCAAAACAAAACAAAAAACACCTAATGTTGGCCGGACGTGGTGGCTCATACCTGTAACCCCAACACTTTGGGAGGCCAAAGCGGGCGGATCACTTGAGGTCAAGAGTTCGAGACCAGCCTGGCCAACATGGTGAAACCCCATCTCTACTAAAAATACAAAAATTAGTGGGGTGTGGTGGCGCACATCTGTAATTCCAGCTACTAGGGGCGCTGAGGCAGGAGAATTGCTTGAACCCGGGAGGTGGAGGTTGCAGTGAGCCGAGATCAGGTCACTGCCCTCCAGCCTGGGCGATAGATCGAGAATTTGTCTTAAAAAAAAAAAAAAAAAAAAGGCCAGGCACGGTGGCTCACGCCTGTAATCCCAACACTTTGGGAGGCCGAGGTAGGCGGATCACAAGGTCAGGAGTCCGAGACCAGCCTGGCCAACATGGTGAAACCCCCGTCTCTACTTAAAAAATACAAAAATTAGCCGGGCATGGTGGCGTGCGCCTGTAATCCCAGCTACTCGGGATGCTGAGGCAGGAGAATCGCTTGAAACCGGGAGGCGCAGGTTGCAGTGAGCCGATTTCGCGCCACTGCACTCCAGCCTGAGCGACAGAGCGAGACTTCAACTGAAAAAAATATGTCTGTATATAAAGATATAGATATTTACTATAAATAAGCACACAGCTTAATACATATTTATTGAATGAATGGCTTATGTTGAGCCTGAGTTGTCTGTGAGATTCCCAGGTAGTGAATTTGGGGCTGTGGGACAAATCTAGGCTAGATTGAGGCCCCAGCATTGCTGGCATCTAGGGAATGCACGTGCTGAGTGGATGACGATCCCTCGTGGAAACTGGGTGAATAATAAGCAAATGGGCCTGGGATGGGGCACTGCGACACCTTTGTTTGTCAGGCAGGGAAAAGGGGAGACATGCCCATGACATGGAGGCATAGAGAAGGGTTTGTGAGAATTAGGAGGGATCAGGTAGGAGTGGGATGGCCTGGAAACCTGGTTGGTTCAAGTAGGGTAAAGAGTCAAATGCTTCTCAGAGTAAAGCAGCAAAGATGGTGAAACGTCACCGGATTTGGCTACAGCGGCACTACTGGTGATCTGAAGCCAGGGTGCAGTGGGATCAGGAGGAAGATGAGGAAGAGGGGACAGGACAGTGGAGGGAAGGAGAAGCAGAGCCTGGTTGCAGGGTAGTTGACATTTTTCTCGGCCGTTTGTGGGCTGCCGGGAAGGAGCAAGAAGACAGGAAAGGGTTGGCGCTCCAGAGGCGAGAGAGGAGAAAGGGACACAAAAACCCATGGAAGCAATAGGGCGGGACTCAAAGCCCACGAGGAGGGCCGGCCCAGTTGTTCTCTGTCTCGTTTTCTAAGCGCTGCGGCAGGGCTGGTGGTGAATTCAGATAAACAGGCACAAAGGGCCAGTGGGGTCGCTAGCAAGATCTGGGACACGCTGAAAGTTAATAGGAATTGGCTGCCCTTTGCCGGCGCAACCCAACGTACAAAGATGATCTTTTCTGAGGCTCCACCGCCGCAGAGCCCTTCGCGCGGCCCACGGCACCAGCCGCCGCTGATTGGCCCGTGGCAGCCACCTGACCGAACGGACCAATAGGAGGCGTTCTCCCAGGAATGCGGCCCGCGTGTGGCCGGGAGCGGAAGCCCGACCTGAGTGCGGCAGGGCCCAGAGGCTGTGCTGGCCACGTGCACCCGGCTGGATTCCGCGGGCGCCGAACTGGGAGTGTGGAGCCGGGTCTCCCACTACCCTGTTCCGCCGGCCGAGGGAGTTGGGGAGGCCGCCTGTCCCAGACGCCCGGACCCTGTGTCCTTCTGATAAATTCCCCCTTTTTCTCTCGCTGGCTTCTGGGGCCATGTCCTTTTTACCCCCTCTGGTCCAAAGTAGTGTTTTAGGAGATTTGGAAGCAAGCAGAACCAAGTTGAAATTACTTGCTCCGCTGGGCGCGGTGGCTCACACCTGCAATCTCAGCACTTTGGGAGGTCTAGGCGGGCGGATTGCTTTAGCTCAGGAGTTTGAGACCAGCCTGGGCAACATGGCGAAACCGCGTCTCCACTAAAAAATACAAAAGTTAGCCGGGCGTGGTGGCGCGTGCCTTTACTTCCAGTTACCCTGGAGGCCGAGGTGAGGGGATCACTTGAGCCCGGGCCTTCTAGGGTGCAGTGAGCGGTGATGGCGCCACTGCACTCCAGCCTGAGCGACAGACTCCGTCTCAAACAAACAAAAATTAGCCGGGGATGGGGATGGCGGTGCGCGCCTGTGGTCCCAGCTACTCCGGTGGCCGAGGAGGGAGGATCACTTGAGCAAGAGTGGGCAGGCTGTGGTGAGCCGAGATCACGCCACAGCGCTCCAGGCTGGTCGAAAAAGTGAGGCCTTGCCTCAAAAATAAATAAATAAATAAATAAATAAATGCTGGGCATGGTGGCTCACTCCTGTAATCCCAAATAAATGCCGGGCCGGGTGGCTCATGCCTGTAATCCCAGCACTGTGGGAGTCCAAGGCGGGCAGATTGCTTGAGCTCAGGAGTTTGAGGCCAGCCTGCGCAACATGGCAAAACCCGTCTCTACCAAAAAATACAAAAATTAGCAGAGCGTGGTGGCGTGTGCCTGTGGTCCCAGATACTCGGGAGGCTGAGGCGGGAGGATCGCTTGAGCCCAGAAGGCAGAGATAGCAGTGAGCTGAGATCACACCACTGCACTCCAGCCTGGGTGACGGGGCAAGACCCTGTTTCAAAAAAAGAAAAGAAAGAAAAATTACTTGCTTACCATGTGACCTAGGACAAGTGTTTAACTTCACTGAACCTCAGATACCTCTTCTGGAAAATGGGACTACTAATACCTACTTCAGTATCTTTGTGAAGATTGTAAAGTCTCGTACCTGGCACACTGTGAGCTCCCAAAACACGTTGGTAACAGTTTTTATGATTGTGGATAGTCCTACCTTAGAGGAAGTCACAATCTCATCACACACGGCCTTGTACTAAGGCTTTTTCTTCCTACTGCCCCTTACTAGAATGTACACTGCTTGTTAACAACAGTGTAACCATATGACTTTTGAGTCTTCCAATTCCACAGTCCCTTCACTTGGTCTAACAAGGGGAAATTTAAGCTATACAGGAACAGTAGTAGGACAGGACATGAAACCATGGGATTTACATCAGGAAAGACACCAGCAATAAGGTGGGAATGTTTATAACACAACAGGGAGGTACTGAAACACATCTTGCTAGAAGGCTGCCATGCACCAACTTTGTGTGAACCTCGCTAAAATAGTAATCGTGATTACAATCATTGGAGGACTTGCCAGGTGCCAGATACTGTTCTAAACTTACATATTACCTCTCAACAATCCCACTTTAGGCTGGGCATGGTGGTTCACACCTGCAATCCCAGCACTTTGGGAGGCCGAGGCGGGTGAATCACCAGCCTGGCCAACATGGCTAAACGCCGTCTCTACTAAAAATACAAAAATTAGCTAGGCATGGTGGTGCACATCTGTAATCCCAGCTACTCAGGAGACTGAGGCAGGAGAATCCTTTGAACCTGGGAGGTGGAGGTTGCAGTGAGATTGTGCCACTGCCCTCCAGCCTGAGCAACAGAGTGAGACTCCATCTCAATAAAAGAAAAAGAAGAAGAAGAAAAAAAAAGAAAATCCCACTTTACAGAGCGATCACAGAGGCACAGAGAAGTTCTCGGTAACTTACCCAAGGTCACTATTAAGTGGCAGAGCTGGGGGTTCAAATCAGGCCTTGTGGGCCAGCGTCTGTGCTCATAACTTCACAGTGTGCTGCCTCTCCAACACCAGCTCAGGCAATGGGCACTCTAAAGACCCACCACAGCCAGGCACGGTGGCTCAGCCTGTAATCCCAACACTTTAGGAGACCGAGGCAGGCGGATCACAAGGTCAGGAAATCGAGACCATCCTGGCCAACATGGTGAAACCCCATCTCTACTAAAAAGTACAAAAATTAGCTGGGCATGGTGGCAGCTGCCTGTAATCCCAGCCACTTGGGAGGCTAAGGCAGGAGAATCGCTTGAACCCAGGAGGCAGAGGTTGCAGTGAGCCAAGACCAAGCCATTGCACTCCAGCCTAGGCAACAGGAGGGAGACTCCATCTTAAAAAAAAAAAAAATAGGCCAGGCACGGTGGCTCACGCCTGTAATCCCAGCACTTTGGGAGGCTGAGGCAGGCAGATCACCTGAGGTCAGCAGTTCAAGACCAGCCTGGCCAACATGGTGGAACCCCTTCCCTACTACAAATACAAAAACTAGCCAGGCGTGGCTGGGCATGGTGGCTTACATCTATCATCCTAACACTCTGGGAGGCCCAGAGTGTCAGGTGAGTGGATTGCCTGAGTTCAGGAGTTCAAGATCAGCCTGGGCAACATGGTGAAATCCTGTCTCTACTAAAATACAAAAAAATTAGTCGGACATGGTGATGTGTGCCTGTAATCCCAGCTACTCAGGAGGCTGAGGCAGGAGAATTGCTTGAACCCAGGAGGCGGAGGTTGCAGTGAGCTGAGATCATGCCACTGCACCCCAGCCTAGGCGACAGAGCGAGACCCCCAAACAAAAAAACATAAGGTTGGGGACTTTCTAGATTATAAGATACTTAAGAGATACAAGGACTGCCCGGGCATGGTGGCTCAATACCAGCACTTTGGGAGGCCGAGGGGGGGTGGATCACTTGAGGTCAGGAGTTCAAGACCAGCCTGCCCAACATGGCAAAACCCCGTCTCTACTAAAAATACAAAAGTTAGCCGGGCATGGTGGTGTGTGCCTGTAATCCCAGCTACTCAGGAGGCTGAGGCAAGAGAATCGCTTGAACTCGGGAGGTGGAGGTTGCAGTTGGCCCAGATTGTGCCACTGCACTCCAGTTTGGGCAACAAGAGCAAAATTCCATCTCAAAAAAAAAAAAAAAAAGAGATACAAGGACCAGTGTATGATCCATCTACCAAAGACATTTTAGGGAAATTTGAATATGGAAAAGGCATTAGACTGAAGCAAATTATTGTTAGGTGGTATTGTGGTTATGTAGAAAACTGTTCTCCTTTTTGGAGAAGTTTACTAAGTGTTGTAGGTGAGAAGTATTAGGATTTCTGCAACTCAATTTGAAATGCCTTCGAAAAAAGTCTACCAAGCAAATATGCAAAATGTTAACGCATATTGAGTCCAGGTCTTTTTTGTTTTCTTTTTCTTTTTTTTTTTTTTTTTTGAGATGGAGTATCGCTCTTGTTGCCCAGGCTGGAGTGCAATGGCGCAATCTCGGTTTACGGCAACCTCAGCCTTCAGGGTTCAAGCAATTCTCCTGCCTCAGTCTCCCGAGTAGCTGGGATTACAGGCATGCGCCACCATGCCCAGCTAATTTTGTATTTTTAGTAGAGACGGGATTTCTCTATGTTGGTCAGGCTGGTCGCGAACTCCCAACCTCAGATGATCCGCCCACTTAGGCCTCCCAAAGTGCTGGGATTACAGGCGTGAGCCACTGCACCCAGCCATTATTTTTCTTTTTTACTTTTCTGTTTTTGTCTTTTTTTTTTTTTTTTAAGACAAAGTCTTGATCTATCGCCCAGGCTGGAGGGCAGTGACCTGATCTCGGCTCACTGCAACCTCCACCTCCCCGGGTTCAAGCAGTTCTCCTGCCTCAGCCTCCCAAGTAGGTGGGATTACAGGTGCATGCCACCACACCTGGCTAATTTTTGTTTCTTCATTTGTTTTTTGGGATGGAGTTTTGCTCTGTCGCCCAGGCTGGAATGCAGTGGTACAATCTCGGCTCACTGCAACCTCCACCTCCCGGGTTGAAGCCATCCTCCTGCCTCAGCCTCCCCAGGAGTTCAAATTACAGGCACAGACCACCGCACCCAGCTAATTTCTGTATTTTTAGTACAGACAAGATTTCACCATGTTGGCCAGGCTGGTCTTGAACTCCCGACCTCAGGTTATCCTCCTGCCTTGGCCTACCAAAGTGCTGGGATTACAGGCGTTAGCCACCAAGCTTGGCTAGTTTTTGTATTTTTATTAGAGATGGGGATTCGTCATGTTGGCCAGGCTAGTCTCGAATTCCTGGCCTTAGGCAATCCACCCACTTGGGCCTCCCAAAGTGTTGGGATTACAGGCGTGAGCCACCACGCCTGGCCTTTTCTGTATGTGTTTAAGATATCGCCAGGCGTGGTGGGAGGCCAAGGTGGGTGGATCACTTGAGGTCAGGAGTTCGAGAGCAGCCTGGCCAACATGGTGAATCTCCACTTCTGCTAAAAATACAAAAATTAGCCGGGTGTGGTGGCACACACCTGTAATCCCAGCTACTCGGGAGGCTGAGACATGAGAATCGCTTGAACCTGGGAGGCGGAGGTTGCAGTGAGCCGAGGTCGCGCCACTGCACTCCAGCCTGAGTGACAGAGTGAGACTCTGTCTCAAAAAAAAAAAGTACATCTGTAAAAAAAAACTGAACAGGCCAGGCGTGGTGGCTCACGCCTGTAATCCCAGCACTTTGGGAGGCCGAGGTGGGCGGATCAGGATCACAAGGTCAAGAGATCAAGACCATCCTGGCCAACATGCTGAAACCCCGTCTCTACTAAAAATACAAAAATTAGCTGGGCATGGTGGTGAAGGCCTGTAATCCCAGCTGCTTGGGAGGCTGAGGCAAGAGAATCACTTGAACCTGGGAGGTGGAGGTTACAGTGAGACAAGATAGCACCACTGCACTCCAGCCTGGTAGCAGAGCGAGACTCCATCTCAAAAAAAAAAAAAAAAAACAAAACTGAACAGTTGAACAATTAGTGGGGCGTGGTGGCACACGCCTGTAATCCCACCTACTTCAGAGGCTGAGGCAGGAGGATCGCTTGAACCTGGGAGGCAGAGATTGCAGTGAGCTGAGGTCACGCCATTGCACTCCAGCCTGGGCAATAGAAACTCTGTTTCAAAAAAGGAAAAACTGAAAAACTGAACATATTTCCTACCTTTGCCCCAGCTCCATTTTTCATCTGGTACCCCTCCTCCCCAGAACCTGCCTTGACCCCGCCTCTGGTACCACCCCCAACTTCAGCCCATGGTTGGGCCTAACCAGTGGGCACCCTCCACCTGTGACTGGAGTGATCTGGGCTGGAGCCCCAAGGTTATTCAGTCGTCCTCAGCTTCCTTGAGCCTACCGCCCCTCTCTTCTACCTCAGCTAATGATCTCACTTCTCACCTCTCCAAGAAAACAGAGGCACTGGCTGGGACTTCCTTCAATTTCCTTACCTTCCCACATAAAACACAGCTGAGGCCCCAGTTTGCCTTTCCCTCCAGTATCAGAGGTTGAGGCATTCGTCCTCTGGTCCATGGCCCATGCCTTCACCTGTGATCCCACCCACACACCCCGCACCTTCTTTGCCTCAGTCGTCTCTTGGTCTTGTACCTTCAACCTTCCCCTCTCAATTGGCCTCTTCCCAACAGGACTGTACTCATTCAATAATTTGTTCATTCAATTCACAAATATTTATTGAGCATCTACTCTGCACCATGTCTTGCTCTACGCATTGGGAACAGACCAGTGAAGGAGTCCTCACCTCTTGGTGTTTCCATTATAGACAACCAGAAAGACACGAGTATGAATAATAACAAGAACAAAAATCAAGCAATCAAGGCTGTGTAGTATTGGCATAAAGATGGGTCTATAGATCAATGGAGTAGGAGTGAGAATCCAAAAATAAACCTGTGCTTTTGTGGTCATGAGTGCCAAGACCATTCAAATGGAGAAAGAATAGTCCTTTCAACAAATGGTGTTAGTACAAGTGGATATCCACATGCAAAAGAATGAAGTTGAACCCCTCCCTCACACCATAAATTAATTCAAAATGGATCAAAGTCTTAAATATAAGGACTAAAATTGTAAACCTCTTGGCAAAACACATAAGGGTAAATCTTCATGATTAAGTTTTGGTCAGTAGTTTCTTAGATATGATACCAAAAGCACAAGCAACAAAGAAAAAATAGGTGGCTCACACCTATAGTGCTAGCACTTTGGGAGGCCAAGGCAGGTGGATTGCTTGAGCCCAGGAGTTTGAGATCAGCCTGGGGAACATGGTGAAACCTTGTCTCTACAAAAAAATATAAAACTTAGCCAGGCATGGTGGCACACATCTGTAATTCAAATACTAGGGAGGATGAGGTGGAGGGGATCACTTGAGCCTTGGAGATCAGGGATACAGTGACCCCAGATCGTGTCACTGCACTCCAGCCTGGGTGACAGAACAAAGTGAGAGCCTATCTTAAAAAAAATTTAAAAAAAGTAAAGAAAAACCAAGAAAACTAGACCTGATCAGAATTTAAAATTTTTGTGTTTAAAATGACACTGTCAAGAAAATGAAAAGACAACCCACAGAATGGGATAAAATATTTGTAAATTTCATATCTGATAAAGGACATATCCAGAATACATGAAGAATTCTGACAACTGAACAATAAAGACGGCCGGGTGCAGTGGCTCACACCTGTAGTCCCAGCACTGTGGGAGGCTGAGGCAGATGGATCACATGATGAGGTCAGGAGTTCGAGACCAACCTGGCCAACATGGTGAAACCCCGCCTCTGCTAAAAATACAAAAATTAGCCGGGCGTGATGAGCACCTGTAATCCCAGCTGCTCAGGAGGCTGAGGCAGGAGAAGTTGCAGTGAGCCGAGATCATGATACTGCACTCCAGCCTGAGCGACAGAGCGAGACTCTGAAACAAAACAAAACAGAACAATAAAGACAAATTACCCAAT
This sequence comes from Homo sapiens, assembly GCF_000001405.40. Lineage (NCBI taxonomy): Eukaryota > Metazoa > Chordata > Mammalia > Primates > Hominidae > Homo > Homo sapiens. Next base: position 177,124,170 of record NC_000005.10, read on the forward strand.
TTTTAAAAAATGGGCAAAGGATCTAAATAGATATTTCTCCAAAGAAGATTATAAATGGCCAATAAGTACAAAATACAAAAATTAGCCGGGAGTGGTGGCGTGTGCCTGTAGTCCCAGCTACTCAGGAAGCTGAGGTGGGAGGATCATCTGAGCCTGGGAGACGGAAGTTGCAGTGAGCCAAGATCGCGCCACTGCACGTCAGCTTGGGTGACAGAGTGAGACCCTGTCTCAAAAAAACACCAAAAACCAAAACCACTGGATTGTACTCTTTGTGAATTTTATGGTATGATAATTATATCTCAACAAAAAGAAAATAAAGAAATAAATAGGAAAGACATCAGGTAATTTCAGAGAGTGGTAATAGCTCTAAGGCAATTCAACAGGAAGATGTGCTAGAGTGACTTGGGACCTGATAGGAGCTCCTAGAGCCAGGGGAGGGGCCAAAGAATACCTGTTTGAGGAGGGACTCCAGCTGATTGACAGGAGGAGTCATGGGGTGGCAGAGGGAACAGCAAACCCAGGCCCTGTGATAGAGAGGCCAACTATATCTCTGGAAAAAGCCCTGTCCCGCTATCCCCCACTCACAGCTGCTCTCTTTGTTCTACAAAGCCCTGTTTTCCAATCTCGGTTTTTGCTTAAAGTTTTTGCCTGAGAGATATGAAGATTTTCCAGATTGTTCTGAGTATGGCTGGAGTTAGAAGAACAAGTTCCCAGACTGCACCTTCCATTTGTCCTCGGTGGGCCTGAGAAATCACATCTCTTCGGTCTTCTTTCTCCCAGTTTCTCACTAAGGAGGGAAAAGCCATATCTCACCCAAGTGAATCTCCTTCGGAGTCAGCGGGGGTGGGGGGCGGGGTGCCTCAGAGACTGGGTGCTGGGGAGCCTGCAGAGTTTCCCAGGCCTTACCCAACAAACTCGGGCTACGCTCTGATCTTGTCTGTCTGTTCTAGAATTAGAATCCAGCAGGGGATGGCTGTCACAGGGATGCATACTAACACTGGAACACTGGTTTACTTCTTTCTTTTTTTTTTTTTCCGAGACGGAGTTTCGCTCCTGTTACCCAGGCTGGAGTGCAATATGTGATCTCAGCTCACTGCAACCTCTGCCTCCTGGGTTCAAGCAATTCTTCTGCCTTACCCTTCCAAGTAGCTGGGATTACAGGTGCCTGCCACCATGCTGGGCTAATTTTTTGTATTTTTAGTAGAGATAGGGTTTCACCATGTTGGCCAGGCTGGTCTTGAACTCCTGACCTCAGGTAATCCACCCACCTCAGCCTCTCAAAGTGCTGGGATTACAGACGTGAGCCACCACATCCAGCCTAACACTGGTTTTCATGAGAAACAAAGTCAGATCTTTTCTGACTGAAAGTCAATCTGAGTTGGCTGAAGGCCTTTTTTTTTTTTTTTTTTTTTTTGACGCAAAGTCTCGCTCTGTTGCCCAGGCTGGAGTGCAGTGGTGTGATCCTGGCTCACTGCAACCTCAGACTCCCGGGTTCAAGCAATTTTCATGCCTTAGCGTCCCAAGTAGCTGGGATTACAGGTGTGCACCACTATGGCTGGCTAATTTTTGTATTTTTAGTGGAGATGGGGTTTCACCATGTTGGTCAGGCTGGTCTCAAACTCCTGACCTTTCGTGATCCACCCACCTAGGCCTCCTAAAGTGCTGGGATTACAGGTGTGAGCCACTGCACCCAGCCTGGCTGAGGGATTTGATGATGGGTTCTGCCTTTGCCATTTCAGACACATTTTCTATAAATCAAGCTAGCTGAATCTACAGCTCTGGAGGGTTTTTTTTTTTTTTTTTTGAGACAGAATCTCGCTCTGTCACCCAGGCTGGAGTGCACTGATGTGGTCTTGGGTCACTGCAACCTCTGCCTCCCGGCTTCAAGAGATTCTCCTACCTAAGCCTGCCAAGTAGCTGGGATTACAGGCGTGCACCACCACGCTCAGCTAATTTTTGTAGTTTTAGTAGAGAGGGGATTTCGCCATATTGGCCAGGCTGGTTTCAAACTCCTGACCTCAAGTGATCTGCCCACCTCGGCCTCCCAAAGTGCTGGGATTACAGGCGTGAGCCACCAGACCTGGCCTCTGGGTTTTTTTTTTTTTTTTTGAGACAGAGCCTTACTATGTCACCCAGGCTGGAGTGCAGTGGCGCGATCTCAGCTCACTGCAACCTCCGCCTCCCGGGTTCAAGCGATTCTTCTGTCTCAGCCTCCCGAGTAGCTGGGACTACAGGTGCCCGCCACCACGCCCAGCTAATTTTTGTATTTTTAGTAGAGACAGGGTTTCACCGTGTTAGCCGGGATGGTCTTGATCTCCTGACCTTGTGATCTGCCCGCTTTGGCCTCCCAAAGTGCTGGGATTACAGGCGTGAGCCACCGTGTCCGGCCAACGCCCAGCTAATTTTTTGTAGAGATGAGGTTTCGTTGCCCAGTCTGGTCTTCAACTCCTGCCCTCCAGTGATCCACCCACCTCGGCATCCCAAAGTGCTGGGATTATAGGCTTCAGCCACCACGCCCAGCCCTTTTAGTATTTATTGAGCAACTACTGGGTACAAACTCTTTGTCATTCCTCCACTAGCAAGAGCAGTGATTTCATGAGCTGCTTTTCAGCCTTTGTTTTCATCTGTAAAATAGGATATCTTCTCTTTGAGGGGCAACAAGGGGTAGGTGTGGGTGGGTGAGCTATAAACCCTAATCCTCACCCAGGAGGAGGTGCAGCCACCTTTCTGGCCACTGGCTGGAGACCTCCCCCTTTCCCCATACTCCTCCTTCCACTCCCTGATCCAAGCACTGCCAGAACCCAGCATTCTCTCACTTTCTCTTCCTCCGTTTTGAATCAGTAGGTTCAGAAGTGCTTGGCTTGATATGAAGCTGGGGGTGCATCCAACAAAATCAGATGCCTAGAGAAGGAGCAGGATTGGGGTGGGAGAGAGAAGACAGATAATTGGGTTGAGGAACCTGGGGGCATCCTGAAGGAGGTGCCCAGTGGGCAGTTGCTTTGTGCTGGGCCCAGGGCCAGGTTATACGTACTTTGAATATTTTATCTTCATAGCTATCCCATTTGGTGAGGCTCAAAGAGCGAAAATGACATTCCTGGTAAATGGCCCTGCTGCAGTTTGAATTTGTATCCATCTGACTCCAGGTCACGTAAGCTCTTTTTGTTTTTGAGACGGAGTCTCGCCCTGTAGCCCAGGCTGGAGTGCAATGGCGGGATCTCAGCTTACTGCAACTTCCACCTGCCAGGTTCAAGCGATTCTCCTGCCTCAGCCTCCCTTGTAGCTGGGATTACAGGCACGTGCCACCACGCCCAGCTAATCCTTTGTATCTTTAGTAGAGACGGGGTTTCACCATGTTGGCCAGGCTGTTCTCGAACCCCTGACCTTGTGATCCGCCCTCCTCGGCCTCCCAAAGTGCTGGGATTACAGGCATGAGCCACTGAGCCTGGTCATAAGGTCTCTTATACTTTTATTTATTTATTTATTGGAGCCAGAGTCTCACTCTGTCACCCAGGCTGAAGTGCAATGGCATGAACATGGCTCACTGCAGCCTCCACATCCTGGGCTCAAGCGATCCTCCCACCTCAGCCTGCCAAGTAGCTGGGACTATGGGTGCGAATCATACACCACCATGCCAGGATAATTTGTTTGTTTGTTTGTTTGTTTTTTTAAATGGAGTTTCGCCTTGTGGACCAGGGTGGAGTGAAATGGCGCGATCTCAGCTCACTGCAACCTCAGCCTCTTGGGTTCAAGCGATTCTCCTGCCTCAGCCCCCCGAATAGCTGGGATTACAGGTGTGTGCCACCACATCCGGCTAATTTTGTATTTTTAGTAGAGACGGGGTTTCACCACATTGGTCAGGCTGGTCTCAAACTCCTGACCTCATGTGACCCACCTGCCTTGGCCTCCCAAAGTGCTGGGATTACAGATGTGAGCCACAGCGCCTGGCCTACTTTTTGTATTTTTTGTAGAGACAAGGTTTAGCCATATTGCCCAGGCTGGTCTTGAACTCCTGGGCTCAAGCGATCCGTCTGCCTCAGCCTTCCAAAGTGCTGGGACTAAAGGCGTGCACCACTGTACCTGGCCTCTTATGCTTTGTAAAGCATTGTCTGGCACCAAAGGCTGTTTGTTCCTCAAACATCTTGAATCCTTTTTGGGAGGATCTGAGTTTTGTACAACTCATTTGGTCCGTTATTGAAACCACAATTCTGTCTGATGGAGACACAGGCTTGGAGAGGAGAGGAGGGGATAGATCAGGCATCATGAAATGTTTCTGGAGCACTCACTCTGAGCTTCACGGTCTGGGCTTGTTCACTGGAGGTCAGAGAGTATATGTCCTTAGTCTTGTTGGAAGTGACTGTCCAACTGGATGAGACCAGATTTAGAAGCCATTAGTTACTACCAGGACTCAGGGAAAATGGCTGCCTGTAGGGGTGGGAAGACTACCAGGAGGAGGAGTCTTCTAAACAGGATGAATGGAGTCTGCCCAGGGGAAAAGGCAGAGTGACTGGCATGAGCATAGGCTGGACAGGATGTGGCTTGTCCTGGCACTGGGCAGTTGGGGGAAGTGAGAGCAGGAGGGCAGGGATTAGTGGCCACCATACCAAGCTTCAGAAGGAGGTTTAAGAAGAAGAAAACTTAAAGGTGGATGCTTGAGTCCTTCGGGCTGGGGCTGGGCGTACAGGCTCAGGTTAGCGACAGGACCTGGTATTTGGGGCAGGAAGGAGACTGCTGGAGGGCTGCCTGGTCTCAGATGTGGTCAGGCCTTCCTTGATCTTAAGTTGAAAACTGATTCAATTTTGGGGAAATCCGTGGGTGGGGAGAGGAAGGAAACAGCTCCTAGACCCATCAGAAGGCATGGTCCTGGTGTTCACCAGCTATGTTCAGGATTAATTACCAAAGGCCTCCATGCCTCTCCCAAGACCTAACTGTTTAGTCAGAAGGCAGATGCTGTTCCTGTTCAGTGGGAACAAGGAGCTGGAACTAGGATGGGAGTTTGTCTCTGGGCAAGTCATGCTTCCTTTCTAGAAGATGGGGATAACAATAATACCCATCTCAGAGGAGTAAATGAGTATCCTGCAGGGTAGCTGGAACAGAGGAGGATAAGCTACAACTGTTATTGTAACAACAGGCAGAGCCCTTGCTGGAGTTGTGTTTCTAGGGGAGGAACCAGTGTCTTCTGGACACAGAAGAGTGAGCTTTCTACTGCTCAGATGCCATCACGTCATTATCCTCCTCCCTCACCTTCCATGGCTGCTTACTGCCTTCCAGATAAAGCTTCAACTCTTTAACTTAACCAACCAAGCCCTGAAGGGTGAGGCTCTGTGTCTGCCCCATCCTTGGTTGAGCCTCTTTCTGCACTCATTACCTCTGCCCCGGCACATACACTAGACATGCTTGTTGTGGTCAGTTCCTCTGAAGCCTGGTGTTTCTCTGGACTCTGCTGGAATCTCTGCCTCTTCCCCTTCTTGCCTGGCTATTCCTGAATATCCTCCAGGACTCTCTCTGGATGTTGCTTCCTCAAGGATACCCCTGAGTTAGTTTCAAGGGCATTCTCAGCTTCTCCAGCACCCTTGGCTTCTCTCTCAGTACTCAGTTCTCTGCCTTGTTATTACCTGTCTGCTTTTTCCACAAGGCTGTGACGGGGAGCCCCAAAATATTTATGGAATTAATGAATGAAAAGGGGTGGTTCTAAGAAAAAAGAGATCACTGTACATTGGCCAAATGTCCCAACAGGTATCTATTATATCTCACCAGGGTAGGAATTATCAGTAACCAAGATTTACAGATGAGGAAACTCAGCCCAAGGTAGAGTCCCTCTGCCTGTCATTCAAATTTCTGGGCACCTGTGTGTAAGCACCATGCTGGGCTTTTCACAGGCAGTATGTGTAGGGTGGACAGGCTGAGAGCAAGCACGTGAGGCCCATCATACCAGGTGAGAGTTAAGGTGCTGACACCTTGCATGAGGGCTTAGTCTCTTGGACCTCAATTCTTCGTAGGGCTGGTGAAGGGTCATAGGAACGACTGTATGTGAAGTGCCCAGGACAGTGTCCAGTACACTAGTACAGACCCAGCAAGTGTTTACTGATTCTTATCTCAGTCCTAAGGATGGGAGTCACAGGCCCAGAAAAGGTCCCTGGATTGAGACAACCAGCCAGAGGAGAGCTGAGTGTACATCCCAGGCCCCCACCCTACAGGGACACAGTCCTCTCCCTTCTGCCCCCACTCAAGGAGTCAGTGTCCTTGTGAGAATCTATGGCGCTGTGGATCTTCTCAACCTAGTGCTGGCACACATGAGATGCTTGGCCAGGGCCTGCCAGATGGGGAGGCTGGAGATGGGTCGGCTGTGATTGAGACCTCTGTGGCCAAGTTTTACTCTAAGAGGCAGGTAAGGCCCTCAGGGGTTATCCCAGAGAAGTCTGAGAGGTTTTCCCTGGGGTCCTGGTCTTCTCCCCCAGACCTGTCAGCAAGCAGTTCATCCCCAGCTGCCAATCTCCTTTTGGCCCTCAGTCTTCCAGAGGAGCTGGGAGGTGGGAGAGAGGGGTTCTGCAGGGCAGTGTTGTTCAGAGGTGAGCTTTGGAAGAAACTGTTGTCTCAACCCTATTTTCACACCATAGCACCTTTATTTAACTGTCTTTTCCCGAGGCCAGGATCTCATCTTTTGTTTCCCCAGCACTCAGCACACTGCCTGGAATGCAGGAAATGGTTGCTGAATGAAGCGATGAATTACATTTCAGCACTCATCAAGTGCTCAGCCTATAACTAAGTCTGAGTGTAGGCTGCTAACACTTAGACCTTTACCTTACAGAATCTTCGCAGCCAGTGCTGTGCATTGGAAGTTGCAGATGGGGAAACTGAGGCTCAGGACTGTTAAGTGACTAGTTCAAGGCAGGTCTCAGGCCCTCAGGATGGTTAGTGGCAAAGTAAAGGACTGGGAGGAGCATTGATGAATTGGGGCAATTGGCAGAGGAGTAACTGTCAGTCAAAATGATTGGCTCAAATTATTAGGTGTGAAGAAGGAACCAGTCAGAGCTTGCCTGTTGAGTCGAATTGCCCAGATGGGATTAGCAGGGTGAGTGACCCTAGCAGAACAAAGAGCTGGCCCTTGTAGGTATAGACTCGACTTTTCTCTGGTTGGTCCCAACACATAGACAACTACCAACCTGACTTTGCACCTGAGAATCTTCAGGGTACCTCAGACTCTTCAACAGAAGGAGCCTCCCTGAGGTCACAGCCCTCTCATCAGTCCCGTTCCAGTGGGCACTTTCCCTCTAACAAAGCCCACTTGCTGTCTTGGCAGGGTCTGCATCCGGCACTTGCAGACATGTGCTAAGGGCCTGTTGACTTGGGAGCCTCCATCACTGGACTGTGGGCCTTGGAGAGCAAAAGGGTAAGAGCATCTCGAGCTCCACGCCTGCTGGGCCAGTCGCTGGCTGAAGGCAGGGGAAGGATGGAGTTTAGCTGGCCAGCACTAATGTCACACAGGGCAACGCCAAAAATGGCCTTTCTCCCAGGTGGGCTCAAAGTTAACAGAAGGCAGTGAGTAAACAGTCCACTGGGGCAATAACTATGCACATTTACTAAGCCATGGGAAGAATAGTAGTCACGTGGCCCTCGAGGGCGGTGCCCTCAGCTTGAGATGGAGTTAACTCCAAATCTAATCACAGAAGGCTTTCTGGAGGAGGCGGAATTTTTATGGCGGCCGGATCCGGCTTTCTCTGAACAGCGAGAAGGCGCTTAGCGCCCTAGGGACCAGGTAACTCCTGAGGTGAGCTTCTTGGTGGGGATCAAGCCCAGGGGGCGACGGAGTCCGGGCTGGGGGAAGGGCCCGAGGGGCTGGAGTCGCAAGTTCAGGCCCAGCTTGGGCTCCCTGTCCCGCCCTTCCGCTGTCTTGGGGGATTGGACGCCACGCGGTCGTGCTAGATTCGGTGCTGCGGGCCCGGTGCAGGATGCAGGCCGTGAGGCCCCAGGCCGAGGGCTGCGCCAGCGGGCTTGTCCCGGCCAGCCGGGCGGTCCCGTGTCCCGGCGCAGCTCCGCTGGGGTCCAGATGCCCGGCCCTCAGGGGCGAGGCGCGCACTCCCCGGGGAACCGGGCTGCGGAGCAGGCGGCCCGCTCTGGGCGGCGGTGGCACGAGAGGGCCATCTGCCTGGGTGCCGAGAACTGCAGCGTCCGCGGTGCGAGGCGCGGCCCGTCCCGTCCCGGCCCCCAGCCCGGCGCGCACGCACATACCCACGCCGGCCGGCGCCCGCTGCCCGAGCCCCCGTGCCAGGCCCAGACCTTGACTAGGCGCGGGAGGCGGTGCAGGGACTAGAGGACCCCCTCCCCCGGCGTTCCCCTCGCCCCGCCCGAGGCTGCGAGGACCCCTGGGCTCGGGGGTGGTGAGGGAGCTTCGTCCCGGCTGGGCCCGGGCTGGGGACTCGGCCTCCCTGGGCGGGGGCCGCACGGCTGCAGGCCGAGGTGCGGACGCGCTGTCAGGCTGCAGCCCGGCTCGGTGCCGGGGGTGGGCTCAGCGCTGGGGTCGCCTGGCTTCGTTCCCCCGCGGAGGCCACGGCCGGGCGAGCAGTGCCGGGGCGGGTAACCCGACCCGGCTCCCCAGAGCCGCTCACCCCGCACGGCCCGGCAAGGGGAGGGAGAGGGATGGGGGGAGGGGGAAGGGAAGGGGTGGTGGGTGAGGGGCTGTGGGCACCGCAGGGCCGAGTCCCCGGCCCGTCTGCGCTGCTGTAGGGCGGCTGCCCGCGGCACCCGGGACGATCCAGCCTCTGCCTCGCGGGCGTCGAGCCTGAGACAGGAGGGAGCCCTGGGGCTGCACAGGCTTGGCTCAGGGAGGCAGACCCGAGCTGCTGCCTCCATTTTGTTTCCTGCTCAGCTTGGTCTGTGGTGGTGGTGGTGGTGGTGGTGTGGGTTTGGGGTGCGGCCGGGTAGGGGGTTCGCCTGCGGCCGCGTCTGCTCGGGGCCTGAGGCCTCGAAGACCCCAGCCCAAGCCCCCAGGTGAGCCCTGCGGCAGGAGGGGGGTTGCCTTGGCCTCGGGCCGAACCCAGCGGGCTGAGGGCAGGTGCCCAGTGGATGGGGAGCCTGGGCTGTAACCTAAGATGGAGGCCGGGACTGACGCGGGCCCGAGCAGGGCTGGCGGGACGATCGGACAGGCCTCAGCCGCGCCAGGTGCCGCCTGGGTTGGGGTTCGAGACGCGTAGGGTGCGGGAGCCGTGTGCGGCCCGAGGCCAGCGCCGTGCCCCGAGGTAGGTGAGGGGATCGGAATGCCACCCACGACGCCCGCAGGCCCCGACACTCCAAGGAGGCGCGCGAGGCCCCTGGGGAGCCCGCCTCAGGCCCCGCCCGGGCAGCCGGGCCGGCCCGTAGGCCCCGGCCGCGAGCGGGCGCGCAGGGGGAGGGGAGGGGGCGGCAGCGGCAGCTCCGCTGATTGGGCGGCGCTCTCACAAGCCCGACTTCACCCGCCCTGAACCCCGAAGAGTGAGAGAAGGGAACGCGCGCGCTCGGTGGGGGAAGGGGTGCGCGCGCACTCGGGGCCCAGCCGCACGCGGGCCGGCGCGAGGCGCTCGGTCGCACGCGCGGCCGCGGGGGCGCGCGCGGTGGGGGTGTGAGGAGGAGGAGGCGGCGGCGGAATAGGCCGGGGCAGGTCGCGCTCGCTGCCTTCTCCCCTGAAGAGAGACGCGGGGGGAGGGGGGTGCGGCGAGCGGCCCCGCTCTCTCCCCACCGCTCCGCTCGCACCCCAGTGTAATGAGGGTCACCCCCTCCCCCCAGCTGGCCCGGGAGGGGGCGCGGGGCACGGTAACTAGTGCGCTGGGGTGGGCGGCGGGCAGGCGCGAGGAGAAGGGAGGGAGGAGGGTGGCCGGGCGGGGAAGATGGTGGTGGCCGTAAGGTGAGGGGCTCGGGGGAGGGCCAGGCGCGATGCGGGGTTGGTGGCCGGCGGCGCTGCAGCCGCCGGCCTCCTCCCCCTCCCCCTCCTCCATCACTACCAGCCGGGCTCAGGCCTAGCTGGCCGGGCTGCCGCGAACTTCCTCCCGGCGCGGCCCGTGCCCCGCCGGCCGCCTGCGAACACCTCGGCCTCCGCCTCCCCTCAGGTAGCAGGCTGCGGGGCGCGGGGCCGGCTGCCCTCCCGCAGCAAACTTTGCTTGCTGCTGAATATTGATGAGAGCGATCGGCTCGGCTGGGAGGTGCTGCCGCGGCTGCGGGAAGGAGCGCGGCCCGGGCAGGCGGCGGCGGCGTCGGCAGCAGCCATGTTTTTCGAGCTGTAGCAGCTGCTGCTACCCTGACTGGGCTTCGCTGGCCGCCTCGGTTTCTCCCTCTGCCGGGTCCAGGCCTCTTCGCCCTGCAGCTGCGGATCCAGCAGGCCTGCATTCAGGAAGGCGAGCTCTGGGGTGCAGCCGCCTCGGCCGGCTCGCCTGCGGCCTGCGCACCGCCGCTGCAAAGGCTCCGGCGCTGGCTGGGCGCAGGGTGCAGCGCTATTGTGACCGCTGCGCCCTAGCGAGCCAGGAAGGGGGGGGTACCTTTTTGTGCAGGGTCCAGGAGCCCCCCTCGGACCCCGCAGCCTTTTGCTTTTGAGAGATCCAGCTGCTCGACCCCTGGCGAGGGAGGGGGAGGACTAGTCCTGTTTGAGAATTGGGAATTTTGACGGGCAGAGGGGTTTTAATTTTAGTTCATCCCAAGTGTCCACCAGTCTACAGAGGAGGAAAAAGAGACGGGCTGTTTCTATGTAGCAGGATCGGCCCAGCTTCGGGAAAATGGAGTTTTCAGAGGCTCATCGAGGCCATTTTTTCATCTCCAGTCGGGGGAACTTTTTCTGCCCATGGAAGTGCAGCAGAAAGGCATAGAGGCCACTAGGCCTTGAAGTGGCTGCCATTTTAAAGAGTCGAGTCAGATGGCCTATTAACTCAGATTAATTGCTGTGCTTTTGGATTCCAGGTTGATGCCGGCCCAGGATGGATCAGACCTGTGAACTACCCAGAAGAAATTGTCTGCTGCCCTTTTCCAATCCAGTGAATTTAGATGCCCCTGAAGACAAGGACAGCCCTTTCGGTAATGGTCAATCCAATTTTTCTGAGCCACTTAATGGGTGTACTATGCAGTTATCGACTGTCAGTGGAACATCCCAAAATGCTTATGGACAAGATTCTCCATCTTGTTACATTCCACTGCGGAGACTACAGGATTTGGCCTCCATGATCAATGTAGAGTATTTAAATGGGTCTGCTGATGGATCAGAATCCTTTCAAGACCCTGAAAAAAGTGATTCAAGAGCTCAGACGCCAATTGTTTGCACTTCCTTGAGTCCTGGTGGTCCTACAGCACTTGCTATGAAACAGGAACCCTCTTGTAATAACTCCCCTGAACTCCAGGTAAAAGTAACAAAGACTATCAAGAATGGCTTTCTGCACTTTGAGAATTTTACTTGTGTGGACGATGCAGATGTAGATTCTGAAATGGACCCAGAACAGCCAGTCACAGAGGATGAGAGTATAGAGGAGATCTTTGAGGAAACTCAGACCAATGCCACCTGCAATTATGAGACTAAATCAGAGAATGGTGTAAAAGTGGCCATGGGAAGTGAACAAGACAGCACACCAGAGAGTAGACACGGTGCAGTCAAATCGCCATTCTTGCCATTAGCTCCTCAGACTGAAACACAGAAAAATAAGCAAAGAAATGAAGTGGACGGCAGCAATGAAAAAGCAGCCCTTCTCCCAGCCCCCTTTTCACTAGGAGACACAAACATTACAATAGAAGAGCAATTAAACTCAATAAATTTATCTTTTCAGGATGATCCAGATTCCAGTACCAGTACATTAGGAAACATGCTAGAATTACCTGGAACTTCATCATCATCTACTTCACAGGAATTGCCATTTGTAAGCAGTTTTTGGTACAACTTAAATATATACATATATGTATATATACAGGCCACTTAAAGGGAAACTTGTAACAAATTTGTTTTTGGTTGCTTATCAGTTCACAGCTGAAATCCTATTGCTAATCATAAGCTTTGGGCAAAATTTTACTTTGATTTTTAAATTTATCTCTGTTGTATGAATTTGGTTGTTTTAAGCTTTTTCCAAATAACTCTTCATTGAGAGTAGGCTAATGCTTTTAAAGGCATTTGATTGAGTTCAGGTTTAATTTCTCAAGTTGGAGGTATACATATATGATTAAAAAAAAAAAAAAAAGATGGGTTTTGGCCTGCCAGCACCATGAGTGCAGGTGAACCAATTTAGTACTTGGAGTCCTGTTGCTATATGTGGCAGATTATTTTTTTACTTGATGACTTGACTCTTACTTCAGGTTGAAGGGCATTTTGAACACAGATTAAAGTGGCTAAGATGAAGTTTTCTTGGACATTGTCAAAATCTAAATTAGGCTAGTTTTTCTGAACTACCTGTTTTGAAGGTATAGCATCCTGTGCTTTTGATAACTGCCACCATTAGCTCTTTTTTTTTTTTTTGAGGTGGAGTCTCACTCTGTTGCCAGGCTGGAGTGCAGTGGTTGATCACTGCAACCTCTGCCTCTTGGGTTCAAGCAATTCTCCTGCCTCACCCTCCCGAGTAGCTGGGATTACTGGTACCCATCACCACGCCCGGCTAATTTTTGTATCACCATTAGCTCTTGAAGTTTTTCTAGTTTTGTTTTGTTTTATTTTATTTTATTTTAACAGAACCCTAACTAAGACAAAGTTTTATATTTATTTATTGTTTAGAGACTGGCCTTGTCATGTTGCCCAGGCTGGCGTCGGGACTCCTGGGCTCATTCGATCCTCCTGCATCAGCTAGAACTACAGTAGTTTCAGATTTTGAAGTGTGTATGTGTATGTGTGATATGTATATATTCCGTGTGTATAGAAATGGAGAGTATCTTATTTGAGTTGTTGTTTTCAGTAATGCTGTCAAGTATTGTTAGAGGGTGATAAATGATAACATTTGTTTTTATTTGAGCTTATGAAGAATTTCTTGACTTTCTAGCTAAATGATCAGTTCACTTCTCTTAGCCTCAATTTTATTGCGTCTAAATTCCAGAAGTTCTTGATTGCTATAAGATTCCTTCAGCTTTAAATATTAATATTTGATATTGATTTTGTTTCTGCCCAAACACATTGTTTGGTCACCGCCGGTAATGTTAGCAAAGAGAATTTTTTTTGGCCAACAAATGTCTCATACCACATTCAGTTTTTATAAGAAAAACTTTTATGGTATGTTGTTATTCTGAGTTCATTAAACATTCGCTTTACCTTATATCCCTGCTGTTCTTTAAAGTTACAGAGGGAGAATGTGGGTGTGTCACTTTTGTTTCTGTTGATTTGTATCTTAATTATGCCTTGGTACTCCTTGGTTTCTTGGCAATTGCAGATTTAAAAAAATTTGCTTTAGTGGTTATCTTGAGTCTGAATTGTCCTACACATTAGGGTGGGTAGGCTGTTTTGAAAACCTATTGGCAGCTCAGACAAATCCTTTTTCTTGGGTTCACGTTGAAATTTATTTTATATATATATCGTGTCTTTGTTTTTGCACATAAATTTAAATCTGAGAATGGAGATAGATGTTTCTCTAGAAGCATACAAATAGAATTGTAAACCTGTTTCTCGTCAAAGAGATGTTAGTGGAGTATTGGTTCTATTAAAAAAAAAATGAAGGCTGAGTGTGGTGGCTCACACCTGTAGTCCCAGCACTTTGGGAGGCTGAGGTGGACAGATCACCTGAGGTCAGGAGTTTGAGACCAGTCTGGCCAACATGGTGAAACTCCGTCTCTACAAAAATTAGCCGGGCGTGATGGTGGGCAACTGTAATCCCAGCTACTCGAGAGGCTGAGGCAGGAGAATCGCTTGAACCCAGGAGGCAGAGGTTGCAGTGAGCCAAGATTGCGCCATTGCACTCCATACTGGGAAATAAGAGTGAAACTCTGTCTCAAAAAAAAAAACAACAAAAAAACAAACAAACAAACAAACAAAAAACTGAAAATATTGGAGCCTTTAGATAGTAGGTTACATGTCTAAAATGGGAGTTAGCAAATGTATAAATGTAGAAGTTTTTTTTTCAGGGAGAAATTGAAATTGCTCAAAGACTTTATCACCTTGAAGAAGCAAGTATGTAGTTTATTTATTTTTTTGAGACACAGTCATGCTGTCACCCAGGCTGGAGTGTAGTGGCGCGATCTCAGCTCACTTCAACCACCTCCTCCTGGGTTCAAGCGATTCTCCCACCTCAGCCTCCCGAGTAGCTGGGACTACAGGTGTGCACCACCATGCCTGACTACTTTTTGTATTTTTATTAGAGACGAGGTTTCACCATGTGGGCCAGGCTGGTCTTGAACTCCTGACCTCAGGTGATCCGCCCACCTTGGCCTCCCAAAGTGCTGGGATTACAGGCGTGAGCCACCGTACCCATCCCCTAATTTATTATTTTAGGAATTTGGTTCAAAGTTGTGATTGAAATCTATTGCCTTTATTTTTGCCTTTGATATTTTTAAACTGAAGACATTTTTTTTTTTGAGACGAAGTTTCACTCTTGTTGCCCAGGCTGGAGTGCAATGGCATGATCTCGGCTCACTGCAATCTCCGCCTTCTGGGTTCAAGCAGTTCTCCTGCCTCAGCCTTCTGAGTAGCTGGGATTACAGGTGCGCACCACCACCCCAGCTAATTTTTGTATTTTTAGTAGAGATGGGGTTTTACCATGTTGGCCCAGCTGGTCTCGAACTCCTGACCTCAGGTGATCCACCCGCCTCAGCCTCCCAAAGTGCTGGGATTACAGGTGTGAGCCACGGAGCCCGGCCTCAGACTGAGGACTTAAAAAGTGAGGTCAGGGTGGGCATGGTGGCTCACGCCTGTAATCCCAGCACTTTGGGAGGCTGAGGCGGGTGGATCACCTGAGATGAGGATTTCAAGACCAGCCTGGCCAACATGGCAAAACCCCGTCTCTACTAAAAATACAAAAAATTAGCTAGGCATGGTGGCAGGAGCCTGTAATCTCAGCTATTTGGGAGGCTGAGGCAGGAGAATCACTTGAACCCGGGAGGCTGAGGTTGCAGTGAGCTGAGATCGCCCCATTGCACTCTAGCCTGGGCAACAAGAGCGAAACTCCCTCTCAAGAAAAAAAAAAACCATCCTGGCCGACATGGTGAAACCCCGTCTCTACTAAAAATACAAAAATTAGCTGGGCGTGGTGGCAGGCTCGGGAGGTTGAGGCAGGAGAATCACTTGAACCCGGGAGGCGGAGGTTGCAGTGAGCCGAGATTGTGCCACTGCACTCCAGCCTTGAGACAGAGGGAGACTCCATCTCAAAAAAAAAAAAAAAAAGCGGTCAATCTTAGAATGCAAAGTTAGGTAAGCAATACAGCTTGAGAAAAGTGTAATTAAAAATAACTTTTCTATGTAGTCATGTGATATTAATGTATTCAACTTGTTCACAGTTGATTTAAGTTATTGATATAGTAGGTATTGTTACTATGCTGGGAATTTTAGAAAATCCTTAGCAAATTGCTATTTGTCTCTTTTTGTCTGTAATTTTGGCTGGGCTTGGTGGCTAACACCTGTAATTCTAGCAAGTTGGGAAGCCGAGACAAAAGGATTGCTTGGGGCCCAGAGTTTGAAACTAGACTGGGCAACATAGTGAGATCCTGTCTCTACACTCAGTTGGTTGTGGTGGTATGCCTGTAGTCCCAGCTACTCAGGAGGCTGAGGCAGTAGTAGGATCACTTGAGGCCAGAAGTTTGAGACTGCAGTGAGCCATGATCATGCCACTGCATTCCAGCCTAGGCAACAGAGCAAGATCCTGTCAAAAAAAAAAAAAAAGGAGAAAATTCTCTTGGCAGTGGGTAAGAGTAGTTATTAGGGTTGTAGATTTCCTGTCTGGAATTAGAGAAAGAAGGGTCATATTTTCTGTTATTTTGTGTATCTACCTCTAAGTGGACTGTTTGCCTCTTGTCACGAATTAGTAGCCTCTTCAGTTTACCATCATGTGCTCTTATTTTCTCTGCATACAGTGAAGTGATTGTCATTACAATTTATAATCCTGACCTGGTACTTTTATATTTAATTGGGCTGATATTTTCTAATTCTTCCCAGTGTACAAAGGTTTTATGCTTTGTTGTTGTTGTTGAGACAGGCTAGGTGCTTTGGATGTGGAGAATTAAATGAGCATGGCATTTTCAGAGGATACTTGTTGGAGATTGCTTGGGTAGGAT
This sequence comes from Homo sapiens, assembly GCF_000001405.40. Lineage (NCBI taxonomy): Eukaryota > Metazoa > Chordata > Mammalia > Primates > Hominidae > Homo > Homo sapiens. The sequence continues at coordinate 177,140,349 of NC_000005.10, forward strand.
GGATGTAGTCAGGTAATGGGGCCTAGAAATTCAGACTGAAGCATTTGGTATTGATGTGATGGGAACTGGCAGCCCTTGAGAGATTTTAGCTGAGAAGTGATGTAAAATCTGTTTGGAAGACTTTGAGTAGAGGAGATTAGAGGCAAGGTTAGGATGTAGGGTATGTTGCAATAGTAATTAAGACTTAAGAATCGGCCCAGTGGCATGTACCTGTAGTCCTAGCTACTCTGGAGGCCGAGGCAGGAGGATCACTTGAGGCTGCAATTAGCTGTGATTGTGCCTGTGAATAGCCACTGCACTCCAACCTAGGCAATATAATGAGATTCTGTCTCTTAAAAAAAAAATGAGCACAGTGAGTACTCTAAAGAAAGGGGGTAAATCTAAAAGATTATTTCAAAGGGAGAAAATTGGCAGCTTTTTGGGGGCTACCTGATCTGGAGGCAGATTGGAGTCTGGATTTGAGGAATGGAGAGAGATGAGGCAGATGATGTCTAAGGCTTATAGTTTTGCTGCCTGAGACAAAAATGATTCCTCAGAGGTTCCTTCCTCTTCTCTACCCATCATCCCACAATTTTCTACTCCCTCCTTAGCTATCTTGGAAGAAAATTGATCTCTTCACACCTGAGGTTCTGCTCTCTCTCCGATTCCCTCCTGGCTGGGTGACCTTTTTTGTTTGTTTTTGTTTTTGTTTTGAGACAGAGTCTCACTCTGTCACCCAGGCTGGAGTGCAGTGGGGCGATCTCGGCTCACTGCAACCTCTGCCTCCCAGGTTCAAGCAATTCTCTGCCTCAGCCTCTGGAGTAGCTGGGATTACAGGCGCCCGCCACCGCAACCAGCTAATTTTTATATTTTTAGTAGAGACGGGGTTTCACCATCTTGGCCAGGCTGGTCTTGAACTCCTGACCTCGTGATCCACCCGCCTTGGCCTCCCAAAGTGCTGGGATTACAGGCGTGAGCCACCGCGCGCAGCCTTTTTTTTTTTTTTTTTTTTTTTTTTTTTAAGATGAATTCTTGCTCTGTTGCCCAGGCTGGAGTGCAGTGGTGTGACCTTAGCCCACGGCAACCTCCATCTCCTGGGTTCAAGAGATTCTTGTGCCTCAGCCTCCCAAGTAGCTGGGATTGCAGGCGCCCTCCACCATGCTTGGCTAATTTTTGTATTTTTAGCAGAGAGAGGTTTCACCATGTTGGCCAGGCTGGTCTCGAACCCCTAACCTCAAGTGATCCACCTGCTTCAGTCTTTCAAAGTGCTGGAATTACAGGTGTGAGCCACCACGACCTGCATACCACTTCTCAAACAGTCCTTTTTTGCGTCCTTGTTCTCTTTTTCTTCCTCTTTCTCTGCAGTCTCATTCACTTTCATTGATTCTGCTGCTACTCCACTCTATGAAACTCTCTTCTGAACTGACTTCAAACCAACAAATTCTACTTGTCAACTAAGCTGCTCCTCTACCTTGTGTTATATTCACCTAAAATGTAATATTATTTCCTTTTTTATTTTTCCTTTGGACAGGGTCTTTCTCTGTCACCCAGGCTGTAGTGCAGTGGTGCCATCTCGGCTCACTGCAACCTCTGCCTTCTGGGTTCAAGTGATTCTCCTGCCTCAGCCTCCTAAGTAGCTGGGACTACAGGCGCCCACCACCATGCCTGGCTAATTTTTGTATTTTTAGTAGAGACAGGGTTTTGCCATGTTGGCCATGCTGGTCTCAAACTCCTGACCTCAAGTGATACGCCTGCCTCTGCTTCCCAAAGTGCTGGGATTACAGGCATGAGCCACTGCGCCCAGCCTATTATTTTCATTTTGAACCCATCTCTTTTATTGCCAAACACGCATTTACTTCTGTGTTCATGATGACATCATTATCCTATTCATCTCAAAGCTGGAAACCTTGCAGTCAATCATTTAAATGATTAAAATACATTTGAGTACCTCTTGAGCCAGGCACTGCCAGTATAATAAAAAATAAAAAAATTAAAAAAAGGAAAGAGATAGTTTGCTTTTAAGGAACTTCACTGTGTGGCAAAAACTAGTGTAAACAATGACAATACAGAATACTAAGTGGTCTGGTAGGTGTTATGTATGCAGTACTTTGGGAGTGTGGAGGAAGGCATGCCTAGAATAATCAGGGAGGACTTCACAGAGTGGTTATTTATAGTTTAAGCAGAGACATACCAGTAAGAGGGAATAGCATATGCAAGTGGCCAGAAATCCTTGGCTAGCTATCTGGGAGGAGTGGGGTTGTCAGGAGATAAAGGTATAAAGATAGGCTTATATGCCGTGCTGTATAGTTGAATGTTTTTACTATTACAAAATTTTACAGATGCCCTCAGTTTCTCCCTTTATTCATTTTTCTATGACATCTTTATTGTTGGTCTTCATTTAGTCTTTCCTTCCAGTCTATCCTGTGTAAAATTACTTCCTACTTCCAAAATGAGAAATACTGGGTCTCTACTTAAATTTGTAACCTAAATGCCTCACACCTCATTTTCTGAACAAATAAAGCCCAAATTCAGTGTCCTTTTTGATAGGATCCTGTCCTGACCTTTCCAAATCTGATGCTAGAGCCTTGTGTACCCTGAGTTCAGCCAAACTGAACTCTTAATGGTCCCTTGCTCCATACTCTCCCCTTGCTCATGCCTTTATTCTCCTGGTCTGATTCATCTTTGCATCTTAACAGTGTATAGCATGGTGCCTTCTTTTTACTGGGGACATATCGAGTTAATGAATGAATGATGCTATTACAGAGGTACAGTTTGGGAAGGGGAGTGAGTACATTTTAGAAAGGTGATAAGTGGATTGTCAGCCTTCATCATTTTCAATGGACCAAATTACTAAAACTTTACAGGTTGGTTGGTTTTTTTTCTTTTTTCATTTCCTCATGTACTCAATTTCTAAGGCTTTTTGAATTTGAGCTTCCTAATATCTCATGCATTAATTTTTTTCTCCATTCTCAACTTTCACTCTTTTAATTAAGGATAATAATTTTTTTTTTTGAGATGGAGTCTTGCTCTGTTGCACAGGTTCGAGGGCAGTGGTGCGATCTTGGCTCACTGCAATCTCCGTCTGCCGTGTTCAAGCAATTCTCCTGCCTCAGCCTCCTGAGTAGCTGGGATTACAGGTGCATGCCACCACGCCTGGCTAATTTTTGTATTTTTAGAAGAGATGGGGTTTCACCACGTTGGTTAAGCTGGTCTTGAACTCCTGACCTTATGGTCCGCCTGCCTCAGCCTCCCAAAGTGCTGGGATTACAGGCATGAGCCACTGAGCCTGGCCAAGGATAATAAATTATAATGGTTTTAGGTTGGACATCTCTGACTGCATACTGCACTGTGTTTACTGGAAGAAGTCCCTTAATGTCTCTAAGGCCCATTTCCTCAGTTCTAAATTACGGCTAGTACCTTCATTGGAGGGTTGTTAAGTCTATGATACAAGATAACTTTTTTTTTTTTTTTTTTTTTGAGACAGAGTCTCTATCGCCCAGGCTGGAGTGCAAAATGGCACGATCTTGGCTCACTGCAACCTCCACCTCATGGGTTCAAGTTGATTCTCCTGCCTCAGCCTCCCAAGTAGCTTGGATTATAGGCATGCGCCACCATGCCCGACTAATTTTGTGTTTTTAGTAGAGATGGGGTTCACCACGTTGGCCAGGCTGGTCGAACTCCTGACCTCAGGTGATCGACCCACCTCGGCCTCCCAAAGTTGCTAGGATTACAGGTGTGAGCCATCTCTCCTGGCCATGATACAAGATAATTTATATGAAGTAATACACTGCTGGTTCTGAAGTAGGTGTGCAGTAAGTGATGCCTACTGCTGCATGCCAAGAGTCAAATGTATATTTGAAAGAGTTGTGAATTTCAAGAAAGATATTTTTGAGTTTTTTTTTTTTTCTTTCTGAGACAGGGTCTTGTACTGTTTCCCAGGCTAGAGTGCAGTGGCCTGATCTTGGCTCCTGGCTGGGCCCAAGTGATCCACCGCCCTCAGCCTTCCAACGTATTGGGATTACGGGAATGAGCCACTGCATTTGGCTAAGTTTTTGTTTTTTTTTTTCTCTATTTTTCCAAACTTATTTGATTAGTAAGATAAAGACATTAACTGCTGTTGACAGTTTCCATTTTTAATTAGTAATCAGGAGCATTTGTTGTATTTTTGTTTGATAATCAGAATAATTTAATTTGTGCAATAGGATCAATAGCTTTCTGTATTCCAACTGTTAAGTGGTGTAAGTTTATTACATTGTTGCTTTTTGCAGGTTGTCCTTTGTTCTAGATAGAAATGTTTAATTTATTCTTCCTGGTTTTCAGGGGAGCCCATTGAAAGGAGATCCAGTCTCTGAAATTTAGTGGTAGGATAATAACAATTGAACAGTTACTTTTGAATCTAATTTAAATAATCTCAATTGTAGCCTTTTAAAGCAATTCCTATGAACCTTTTTGAATTTAGAAAAGTAATACTTGGCCGGGCGCGGTGGTTCACATCTATAATCCCAGCACTTTGGGAGGCTGAGGGGGTGGATTATCTGAGGTCAGGAGTTCAAGACCAGCCTGGCCAACGTAGTGAAACCCTGTCTCTACTGAAAATACAAAAAAAAATTAGCTGGGTGTGGTGGCACGTGCCTGTAGTCCCAGCTACTCAGGAGGCTGATGCAGGAGGATCGCTTGAACCCAGGAGGCAGAGGTTGCAGTAAGCTGGGATTGTGCCACTGCACTCCAGCCTGGGTGACAGAGTGAGACTTTGTCTCAAAAAAAAAAAAAAAAAAGTCAAACTTAAAAATGGAATATAAAAATCTCTTGATTTTTGTCAGTTTTCATATACTCCCTCATTTACACTCTTAATATTCTATTAGAAATTGTCTCTTCTCTCTACACACCCCTTTTTTTCCCTTTTGGTTAATATGTTAAGACATCTTTTCATATGAGCATGTAACATGTAACAAGATTTTTTTTTTTTTTTTGGACAGTGTCTCGCTCTGTTGCTCAGGCTGGAGTCTAGTAGTATGATCACAACTCACTGCAGTTTAGACCTCCTGTGTTAAAGTGATTCTCCTACTTTAGCCTCATGAGTAGTTGGGACTACAGGCCCATGCCACCACGCCTGGCTAATTAAAGAAAAAATTATTTGGTAGAGACAGGGTCTTGCTATGTTGCCCAGGCTGGTCTTGAATTTCTGGCTTCAGGCAATTCTCCTACTCTGCATGAGCCACCTCAGCCGCGAATATTTTCTTATTATGAAATTTTTGTTTAGATAAATGTTGATTCACATGCAGTTGTAACAAATTCCATGGCCAGGCTGGGCGTGGTGGCTCACGCCTGTAATCCCAGCACTTTGGGAGGCTGAGGTGGATCACCTGAGGTTGGGAGTCCAAGACCAGCCTGACCAACATGGAGAAACCCCGTCTCTACTAAAAATACAAAATTAGCCAGGCGTGATGGTGCGTGCTTGTAATCCCAGCTACTTGGGAGGCTGAGGCAGAAGAATCACTTGAACCCGGGAGGCGGAGGTTGTAGTGAGCCAAGATCGTGCCATTGCACTCCAGCCTGGGCTAGAAGAGCGAAACTCCATCTCAAAAAAAAAAAAAAAAAATCAGGAAATTCCATGGGCTAGGCACAGTGACTTATGCCTGTAATCCCAGCGTTTTGGAAGGCTGAGGTTGGAGGATTGCTTGAGCCCAGGAGTTTGAGGCTACAGTGAACACTGACTGTGCCACTGCACTCCAGCCTGGGTGACCCTGTCTCTTAAAAAAAAAAAAGAATACAGAGAGGTCCCTTGTATATTTTGCCTGGTTTTGCAATGGTAATATTTTGCAAAAAATATCTAATACCACACAACCAGAATATTGATGTTGATGTACTTCACCAATCGTTTTTTTTTTTTTTTTTTGAGTCGGAGTCTCCATCTGATGCCCAGGCTAGAGTGCAGTGGCTCAATCTCGGCTCACTGCAACCTCCACCTCCTGGGTTCAAGCAATTCTCCTGCCTCAGCCTCCTGAGTAGCTGGGACTACAGGCGTGTGCTATGACGCCCAGCTAGTTTTTGTATTTTTAGTAGAGACGGTGTTTCACCGTGTTATCCAGGGTGGTCTCAATCTCCCGACCTTGTGATCCGCCCGCCTCAGCCTCCCAAAGTGTTGGGATTACAGGCTTGAGCCACCGCGTCCAGCCAGTCTTACTTAGGCATTGACGTTCATGTAATTTATCCATCTTATTCAGATGTCCTTAAATTTTATCTTTTTCCTTAAAAGAAATCTGTATTTCTATCAGGACATTCTGGATGTCCCCAGTTTTACTGGTAGTCTTTCATTGTGTGTATATTAAGTTCTTTGTTTTTATCACCTGTATAGGTTAGTATATCCATGACTCCCGTCAACTTTCTAAATGTTCGCTGGGTGCAGTGGCTCATGCCTGTAATCCCAGCACTTTGGGAGGCTGAGGCGGCTGGATCACCTGAGGTCAGTAGTTCGAGACCAGTCTGGCCAACATGGTGAAACCCCGTGTCTACTAAAAATAAAAAAAAAATTAGCTGGATATGGTGGGTCATGCCTGTAATCCTAGCTACTCGGGAGGCTGAGGTTGGAGAATCGCTTGAACCCAGGAGGCGGAAGTTGCAGTGAGCTGAGATCGCGCCGCTGCACTCTAGCCTGGGTGACAGAGTATGTCTCTGTCTCAAAAAAAAAAAAAAAAGTTGCTAAACATTTCTAATACCATAAGGATCCCTGCTGTTGCCAGCCGTTTTAAAACTACATCCATCGTCTTCTTGGCAACCTTCCATCTCTTTTTCGTATGTGACAGCGTCTTGCTCTGCCGCCCAGGCTGGAGTGCAGTAGTTGCATCTCAGCTCACTGCACCCTCTGTGTCCCAGGCTTAAGCGATCCTCCCACCTCAGCCTCCTGATTAGCTGCGACTACAGGCACTTGCCACCATGCCCCACTAATTTTTGTATGTTTTTGTAGAGATGGGGTTTTACCATGTTGCTCAAGCTCGTCTTGAACTCGTGAGCTCAAGCAATCCGCCTGCCTTGGCCTCCCAAATGGCTGGGATTACAGGCAGGAGCCACCATGCCTGGCCTAGCCCCTCCATCTCTAGCCTTTGTCAGTTACTAAACTTTTTTTCCTGAAGTTTTGTCATTTCACAAATGTTAGATAAACATGAGTCATACAGTATGCAGCCTTTTGGGATTGTCTTTTTTTCCCTTAGCATAATTTCCAGGGGATTCATCTAAGTTGTTGACTAAATCAATAGTTGTTTTTTTTGTTTGTTTTTTTTTTGAGACGGAGTTTCACTCTTGTGGACCAGGCTGGAGTGCAATGGCATGATCTTGGCTCACTGCAACCTCCGCCTCCCAGGTTCAAGCGATTCTCCTGCCTCAGCCTCCTGAGCAGTTGGGATTATAGGCCCCTGCCACCACACCCAGCTAATTTTTGTATTTTTAGTAGAGATGGGGTTTCACCATGTTGGTCAGGGTAGTCTTGAACTCCTGGCCTCAAGTGATCTACCTGCATTGGCCTCCCAAAGTGCTGGGATTACAGGTGTGAGCCACTGCGCACGGCCCTAGTTTTTTCCTTTTTATCACTAAGTAATATTCCATGATACAAATATACCATGGTTTGCTTGACCGTTCACCTGTTGAAGGACATCTGGGGCAATGCTAGCTTTTGGTAATTAAGGTAAAAGTACTATTTATGTTCATTTATGGGGTTTTGTGTGACTGTAAGTTTTCACTTCTCTGGGATAAATACCAGTAGAACAATTGCAGTATTATATGGTAATGGCATGTTAAGTTTTTTTTTTTTCCTGAGAGGGAGTTTCGATCTTGTTGCCCAGGCTGGAGTGCAATTGCGCGATCTTGGCTCGCTGCAACCTCTGCCTCCTGGGTTCAAGCGATTGTCCTTTCTCAGCCTCGCATGTAGCTGGGATTATAGGTGTCAACCACCACACCCAGCTCATTTTTGTATTTTTAGTAGAGATGGGGTTTCACTGTGTTTGCCAGGCTGGTCCCAAACTCTTGACCCCAGGTGATCCACCCTCCTCAGCCTCCCAAAGTGCTGGGATTACAGGCGTGAGCCACGGCGCCCCGCCAATGTTCAGTTGTTTTTTTGTTTTTTTGAGACAATCTCTCTCTGTCACCCAGGCTGGAGGGCAGTGGCGCGATCCTGGCTCACTGCAACCTCTGCCTCCCGGATTCAAGCGATTATCCCGCCTCAGGCTCCTGAGTAGCTGGGACCACAGGTGCACACCACCACACCAGGCTAATTTTTTTATTTTTAGTAGAGACGGGGTTTCACCATGTTGGGTCAGGCTGGTCTCGAACTCCTGACCTCAGGTGATCCACCCACCTCGGCCTCCCGAAGTGCTGGGATTACAGGTGTGAGCCACCACGCCTGGCCCAATGTTCAGTTTTATAAGAAACTACCAAGCTGTTTTCCCTAGTGTCTGTACCATTTACATTCTCACTAGCAGTATATGAGTGATCCAGTTTCTTTTATTTTTTGTTTTTTGAGACGGAGTCTCGCCCTGTTGCCCAGGCTGAAGTGCAGTGGCACGATCTCGGCTCACTGCAACCTCTGCTTCCCGGCTTCAAGTGATTCTCCTGCATCAGCCTCCCAAGTAGCTGGGATTACAGGCATGTGCACCATGCCTGGCTAATTTTTTGTATTTTTAGTAGAGATAGGGTTTCACCATGTTGGCCAGGCTGGTCTCGAACTCCTGACCTCAGGTAATCCACCCATCTTGGCTTCCCAAAGTCCTGGGATTTCAGGCATGAGCCATTGCACCTGGCCGAGTGCTTCAGTTTCTATGCATCCTCACCAGCATTTGGTGTGGTCACTATTTTAATTTTAGCCATTCGTGTAGATATGTAGTAATGTCTCATCTCATTATGTTTTGTTTTTTTTTTTGAGACGGAATGTTGCTCTTGTTGCCCAGACTGGAGTGCAGTGATGCCATCTCGGTTCACTGCAACCTCCACCTGCTGAGTTCAAGCAATTCTCGTGCGTCAGCCTCTGGAGTAGCTGGGATTATAGGTGTGCATCACCACGCCTGGCTAATTTTTGTATTTTTTAGTAGACATGGGGTTTCACCACGTTGGCCAGGCTGTTCTTGAACTCCTGACCTCAGGTGAGCTGCCCACCTCGGCCTCCCAAAGTGCTGGGATTACAGTTTTGTATGGTGGATTCCATGCAGAGAGAGTTTTTTCTGTAGTCTAGATTAGCAGTCCCCAGCCTTTTTGGCACCAGGGACCAAATTCCTGGGAAACAGTTTTTCCACAGGTGGGAGTGGGATGGTTTGGGGATGAAACTTTTCCACCTTAGATTATCACGCATTAGTTAGAATCTCATAAGAAGCGCGCAACCTAGATCCCTTGCATTTGCAGTTCACAATAGGGTTCATGATCCTCTGAGAATCTAATGCCACCCCTGATGTGACAGGAGTGGGAGCTCAGGCGATAATGCTCCCTTGTCTGCTGTTCACCTCCTGCTATGCAGCCCGGTTCCTAACAGGCTGAGAGGACCAGTACCATTCTGTGGCCTGGGCGTTGGGGACCCCTGTTCTAGATGATCCACATTCTTTTAAATGCCTATATACAAACCATACTTTCTTTATTTCTTTTCTTTTTTTGAGACAGTCTTACTCTGTCACCCAGGCTAGAGTGCAATTGCGTGATCTTGGCACACTGCAACCTCTGCCTCCCAAGTTCAAGTGATTCTCCTGCCTCAGCCTCCCGAGTAGTTAGGACTACAGGTGTGTCCCACCATGCCTGGCTAATTTTTTATATTTGTATTTTTTAATTTTTATTTATTTATTTATTTTTTTGAGATGGAGTCTCGCTCTGTCACGCAAGCTGGAATGCAATGGCACGATCTCGGCTCACTGCAACCTCCGCCTCCCGAGCTCAAGCGATTCTCCTGCCTCAGCCTCCTGTGTAGCTGGGATTACAGGCACCCGCCACGACGCCTGGCTTTTTTGTATTTTTGTAGAGACAGGTTTTCACTGTGTTGTCCGTTCTGGTCTCAAACTCCTGAGTTCAGGGAATCCACCGCCTTGGCCTCCCAAAGTGCTGGGATTACAGTCGTGAGCCACCGCGCCCTGCCACAAACCATACTTTGAAAACGTTGCTTCCATTTTTAGATAATTTGTTAGGAAACCAATAAAATCATACATACTTGTGATTTTCCCTTAGTAAAACACAAATTTTAGTGTTTTTTGCTGTTATTATTAATACTTCTAAAGTTCCTTTCACATTGCTAGTGACCTTATATAAAATACCATAATGCTCTTCTAGCAATTGCTGGAAAGATAAAATCTATTTTAGAGAATGAACAATTATATTTTCACATTAGATTAAATTAAAAGTAATTACTGGTTATGTGATATTCCCTCACATACCAGAGTGAGTCTGAAGGTAGTCTTTCTTTGTAAATTATGAGGCTATATTTCCTGTGTTATCTCTGATTTCTCTTGATGCTGTAATTGGAGTTGTTGGGTCTCCCTGGTGAAAGTAGGTGATGTGCAAGTTGTGTCTATACCCAGTGAAAATAACAGACATTAATGCTACACTAATTTGTCATTGGAATTTTACATTCAAAAGCATTTCTTTTTAAAAATATGATTGTAAATTGGTAATTTATAGTTGTATATACCAAAGGCATTTCTTTAACGTTATAGTTGGTTCAACTGAAAATACGTTAAGTCTGTTTTTATAATTAGTATATTGAGGAACAGCACTTCCATCGTGTCACAATATATTAAGAATTGCCAGCAGGGCACGGTGGCTCACGCCTATAATCCCAGCACTTTGGGAGGCCTAGGCGGGAGGATCACCTGAAGCCAGGAGTCGAGACCAGCCTGGCTAACGTGGCCAAACCCCTATCTACTAAAAATACAAAAATTAGCCAGGTGTGATGGCGGGTGCCTGTAGTCCCAGCTACTCGGGAGGCTGAGGCAGGAGAATCCAGAATTGAATTGAACCCAGGAGACGGAGGTTGCAGTGAGCCAAGATTGTGCCATTGCACTCCAGCCTGGACAACACAGCGAGACTCAGTCTTTTTTATTTTTATTTTTATTTTTGAGACGGAGTTTCGCTCTTGTTGCCCAGGCTGGAGTGCAATGGCACAGTCTCGGCTCCCTGCAACTTCTGCCTCCCGGGTTCAAGCGATTCACCTACCTCAGCCTCCCGACTAGCTGGGATTACAGGCATGTGCCACCACGCCCGGCTAATTTTTGTATTTTTAGTAGAGATGGGATTTCTCCATGTTGGTCAGACTTGTCTCGGACTCCCAACCTCTGGTGATCTGCCCGCCTCGGCTTCCCAAAGTGCTGGGATTACAGGCATGAGCCACCGTGCGTGTCCTTTTTTTTTTTTTTATCTTTTGAGACAGGGTCTCACTCTGTTGGCTAGGCTGGAGTGCAGTGATGCAGTCACAACTCACTGCAGCCTCAACCTCCCAGTCTCAAGCAATACCCCCACCTCTGCCCCTTTGAGTAGGCTGGGACTACAGGTGTGTGCCTTCATACCTAGCTAATTTTTTTTGTTTTGTTTTTTGAGACAGTCTTGCCCCATCGCCCAGGCTGGAGTGCAGTGGTGCCATCTCGGCTCACTGAAAGCTCCGCCTCCCGGGTTCACGCCATTCTCCTGCCTCAGCCTCCCGAGTAACTGGGACCACAGGTGCCCGCCACCACACCCGGCTAATTTTTTGTATTTTTAGTAGAGACGGGGTTTCACCATGTTAGCCAGGATAGTCTCGTTCTCCTGACCTCATGATCCGCCTGCCTTGGCCTCCCAAAGTGCTGGGATTACAGGTGTGAGCCACTGCACCTGGCCATGCCCAGCTAATTTTTGTATTTTTTTGTAGGGATGGGATGGCACTATGTTCCCTAGGCTAGTCTTTAATTCTTGGGTTCAAGTGGTCCTCCTGCCTCGGCCTCCCAAAGTGTTGGGATTACAGGTGTGAGCCACTGTGCCGAGCCAGGTTGTGTGTGTGTGTATGTATGTATGTATGTATGTATGTATGTATGTATGTATGTTTGTATATATTTATATTTATTTTTTTGGAACTGCATCTCACTTTCATCCAGGCCCGAATGCAGTGACATGATCTCAGCTCACTGCAACTTCTGCCTCCTGGGTTCAAGCGATTCTTTTTTTTTTTTTTTTTTTTTGAGACGGAGTCTCCCTCTGTCGCCAGGTTCACTGCAAGCTCTGGCTCCCGGGTTCACGCCATTCTCCTGCCTCAGCCTCCCAAGTAGCTGGGACTACAGATGCCCACCAGCATGCCTGGCTAATTTTTTGTATTTTTAGTAGAGATGGGGTTTCACTGGGGTTTCACCATGTTAGCCAGGATGGTCTTGATCTCCTGACCTTGTGATCCGCCCGCCTCTGCTTCCCAAAGTGCTGGGATTACAGGCGTGAGCCACTGCGCCTGGCCATTTCTTTTTTTTTTTTGGCAAGTGATTCTTGTGCCTCAGCCTCCCGAGTAGCTGAAATTATAGGCGTGTGCCCTCAACGCCTGGGTAATTTTTGTATTTTTAGTAGAGACAGGGTTTCACCATGTTGGACAGGCTGGTCTCAAACTCCTGGCCTCAAGTGATCCACCCTCCTCAGCCTCCCAAAGTGCTGGGATAACAGCTGTGAGCCACCGTGCCCTTCCCAGGTTTTATATTTATTCTTTTTTCCTTTTAAATTATGTTTTTATTTAGGTATTGTACGTAAAGTGCTTTTCTAACAGAGCTTTGGGGCAGAAGTGTTAGGGCAGGTCATTAAACCACTGAAATTAGTTCTTTGGAGGAGAAGATAATTGTTAGAGTTGTAAGTGAAGTCTTGATAGATACCTTATCAATTTCATAGTAATGTCTGTGGAATTTCTTTTTCTGTTTTTTTTTTTTTTAATTATTTCTTGAGGATTAACTGCTGATAGTGGAATATCATATATATAGTTGGCTCTTGATGTACTTATTTCTGGATGGCTTTCCAAAAGGATTTTACCATTTTACACACAGTTCTAAATAGTATATGAATTTAGCATTTGTCCCACACTTAGATAGCACTGATTTTTTTTTTTATTAAGTGGGTGCAAAATGCTACTACAAGATTGCTTTAATTACTACAGTTTTATTGATGAAAATGATTTCTACTTGTTTACTGTTTGTATTTTTTTCTAGGAGTTTTGTGTCTATATTCTTTGCTGATGTATCTTTTTGGATTTAATGTTTTATACATATTAAATTTCTGTCTCATTGGATATAAATATTTTCCCAATCTGGTTTTCATTTTAGTTAATGATTTTCTGTAGTTGTATAGTCAAAGTTTCATTTATTATATAGCTAGATCTGTGTTTTCGAGTGATTTATTGATTCAAAGCTTATTGTGCTTCTAGATATTTGATAAACTGACTTTAGACTCTTGTAAAAATTTGAAGAACTCATATCTACTACAGTCTTACTGATTTAATAGGGGTTTTAATATCCAGTACTATGCTAATAATTTTTATAGTGTTTTTACGACAATTTTTTGAGAACATAAGTTTTTAGAGCTGTGGATGGAATGTTTTCTGCTCTATCAGTTATCCCTTCTGCGTAACAGACCCCTAAGTGTAGCAGCTTAGAGGAGTAAATATTTATTATCTCACATTTTGTAAGGAATCATGGAGTGGCTTAGCTGGATGGTGCTGGCTCAGTCTCTCTAATGAATTTACAGTCAAGATGTCTGCCAGGGCTGCGGTCTCTGAAGGCTGTAGGATCCCTGTCCAAGACGGCTCACTCATATGGATGCTAGCTCTTTGTATGAGGCCTGTTCTTTCCCACTTGCACTTCTCCATAGGCCTGCTTACTGTATGGTAGCTGGCTTTTCCCGGAGTGAGTGATCCAAGAGACAGGGACAGACCAAGCAGGAAGATGCAGTAACTTTTTATGATGTGTATTCTATTGGCTGGCCACACATACCAAGCAGATAGGGAAGGGATTACACAAAGGCATGAATACCATCAGGCTGGGATAATTGGGGGCCAGCTTGGAATCTGGCTACCATATCCAACCAAATAAGAAATTAATAGTTTTAATTAAAGGAAAAGGATTATATTAAATAGACATTCGTTAGTTTTTACTTTTAAGCTGACCCAATCATTTTTCAGATTGAAGTTTTGAATAGATATATGATTAAAAAATACATGAAAAGTTAACCAGTGAAGTGACCTCTGTGCCATGTTTGCTCAGGTAACGCACCTCCAATTCTTGTGCTTTCCCGGAGACCACCTTTTTTAAGAGAAAGGTAGTGGACTGTGCACACTTGGTCTTCCTTTTTCACATAATGGTGTATGTTGAAATCTTTCCATTTTAGAGCATAGCTTTCCCTTTTTAATTTTATTATTATTATTATTTTTGAGACAGAGTCTCCCTCTGTCGCCCCAGCTGGAATGCAATGGTGCGATCTCGGCTCACTGCAACCTCCAGCTCCTGGGTTCAAGTGATTCTCCTGCCTCAGCCACCTGAGTAGCTGGGATTACAGTCGCCTGCCACCATGCTCGGCTAATTTTTGTATTTTTAGTAGCGACGGGGTTTCACCATGTTGGCCAGGCTGGTCTCGAACTCCTGACCTCAGGTTATCCACCTACCTCAGCCTCCCAAAGTGCTGGGATTACAGGCGTGAGGCACCGTGCCCGGCAATTTTTTTTTTTTGAGTCAGAGTCTTGTTCTGTTGCCCAAGTTGGAGTGCAGTGGTTTGATCTCGGCTCACTGCAACCTGTACCTCCTGGGTTCAAGTGATTCTCCTGCCTCAGCCTCCCGAGTAGCTGGGACTACAGGCATGCCCCACCATGCTTGGCTAATTTTGTATTTTAGTAGAGACTAGGTTTCTCCATGTTGGTCAGGCTCGTGTCAAACTCCCTACCTCAGGGGATCCGCCCACCTTGGCCTCCCAAAGTGCTGGGATTATAGACGTTAGCCACCGCGCCTGGCCTAATTTTTGTATTTTCAGTAGAAATTTTTGTATTTCACTGTATTGGTCAGGCTGGTCTGGAACTCCTGAGCTCAGGTGATCCACCCGCCTCGGCCTCCCAAAGTGCTGGGATAACAGGAGTGAGCCACTAGGTGTGACCTAATTTTTGTATTTTTAGTAGAGATGGGATTTCACCATGTCGGCTAAGCTGGTCTCGAACTCCTGACCTCAGGTGATCTGCCTGCCTTGGCCTCCCAATGTGCTGGGATTATAGGCATAAGCCACCGCACTGGCTTTTTTTTTTTTTTTTTTTTTAAACCTGGATGGTTTTATTTTGCATGAATGTATAGATATTTCCTGTTCATACATTCTGAAAGTGAACAACTGTATATATGCAATTTATTTTTATTCTTATTTATTTATTTGTTTATTTTTTGAGACCAGAGTCTCACTCTGTCGCCCAGGCTAGAGTGCAATGACACAATCTCGGTTCACTGCAACCTCTGCCTCCTGGGTTAAGCAATTCTTCTGCCTCAGCTTCCCCAGTAGCTGGGATTACAGGTGTCCGCTAATTTTTGTATTTTTACAAAATACACCCAGGTAATTTTTTGTAATTTTGGTAGAGACAGGTTTCACCATGTCGGCCAGGCTGGTCTCGAACTCCTGACCTCAGGTGATATGCCCGACTCAGCCTCCCAAAGTGCTGGGATTACAGGTGTGAGCCACTGCGTCTGGCCTGCATGGGGATTCTTAATGAAGATTAATTATTGTAGTTGAGGGGGAAAAGGAATAATAAATATTTATTGGACCCTAAATACCTTCGAATATGGAATACCCTAGGTATTCTAGGGCATTTAGGGACCAATAAATATTTATTCCTCCGTACTCTTCCCTCGCTCTTTTCAGATTTTTTTTTTTTTTTTTTTTTTTTTGAGATGGAGTCTTGCTCTGTCTCCAGGCTGGAGTGCAGTGGCGCGATCTTGGCTCACTGCAACCTCTGCCTCCTGGGTTGAAGTGATTCTCTTGCCTCAGCCTCCTGAGTGGCTGGGACTACAGGTGCATACCACTATGCCCAGCTAATTTTTGTATTTTTTGTAGAGACAGGCTTTCACCATGTTGGCCAGGATGGTCTCGTTCTTTAGACCTCGTGATCTGTCTTCCTCAGCCTCCCAAAGTGTTGGAATTACAGGCGTAAGCCTCCGCCGGGCCTTTTTTAGATTTTTAAGAGAATTTTTGTTAAAGCATGAACTTAAAAAATCAGACTTGGCTTGGAGCGGTGGCTCATGGCCTCTAGTCCCAGGACTTTGGGTGGCTGAGGCAAGTGGATTGCTTGAGCCCAGGAGTTCAAGACCTGCCTTGGCAATAATATCAAGACCCCCTCTTCATGAAAAACAATCAAGCTAATACTTGATACTATTTTACATAAGAATTTTTTATAGTATGTCATGTTTTAATGTATATTGGTTATATAGTTGCAAATTTAAAGGCATGGTGGTGGCTCATACCTGTAATCCCAGCACTTTGGGAGGCTGGGGCGGGCAGATCTTCTGAGGTCAGGAGTTCAAGACCAGCCTGGCCAACATGGTGGAACCCCGTCTTAGGCTGAGGCAGGAGAATAGCTTGTGCCCAGGAGGCAGAGGTTGCTTTGAGCTGAGATCGCACCACGGCATTCCAGCCTGGAGGACAGAGCGAGACTCTGTCTCTAAATAAATAAATAAATAAATAAATGTATACTAACTGCATTAGCAAGACTCCGTCTCTAAATAAATAAGTGAATAAATAAATGTATACTAATTGCATTTTAAAAATCAAAGTATAGGCCGGGTACGGTGGCTCACAACTGTAATCCTAGCACTTTTGGAGGCTGAGGTGGATGGATCACCTGAGGTCAGGAGTTTGAGACCAGCCTGACCAACATGGTGAAACTTTGTCTCTACTAAAAATACAAAATTAGCTGGTGTGGTGGCGCATGGCTGTAATCCCAGCTACTCGGGAGGCTGAGGTAGGAGAATTGCTTGAACCTGAGAGGTGGAGGTTGTGGTGAGCGGAGATCGTGCTGTTGCACTCCAGCCTGGGCAACAAGAGCGAAACTTCGTCTCCAAGAAAAAAAAAATATATAATTCACATAAGATAAAATTCACCCTCTTTGGCCAGGCGCAGTGGCTCATGCCTGTAATCCCAGCACTTTGGGAGGTAGAGGTGGGCAGATCACTTGAGGTCAGGGAGTTTGAGACCAGCCTGGCCAACATGGTGAAACCCCATCTCTACTAAAAATACAAAAATTAGCCCGGTGTGGTGGCATACACCTGTAATCCACCTACTCAGGACGCTGAGTCTGCACTCAGTCCCTGGGCTACAGGGTGAAACTGTATCTCAAAAATAAAGAATAAAATGCAGCTACTTAAAGGGTGTAGAGTTGAACAACTGTTACCACTGTCTAATTCCAGAACCTTTCATCACCCCAAAAGAAAACCCATTCCCAGCAGTCATTTCCCATTAAGTCTCCTCTAGCCCCTCACAACCACTAATCTAATTCATGTTTCTATGTATTTGCCTATTCTAGGCGTTTCATACAAATACAGTCATATAATTTGTGGCCTTTCGTGTCTGACTTGTTTAACTTAGCATAATGTTTTAAGGCCCATTTATGTTGTTGTATGTATGCATACTTCATTCCATTTTACTGCTGAATATTGCTTTGTACTGATGCCACTTTTTGTTTGTCTTTTCATCACTTGACGGACATTTTGTTTCTTCCACTTTGTGGCTGTTACAGGCAGTGCTACTGTGAAAATTTGTATTAAAGTTTTAGCGTGAATATATGTTTTCAGTTCTCTTGGGAAAATACCTAGAAGTGGTATTGTCGGATCATAGGGTCATTCTATGTTTAGCATTTTGAGGAACAGCCAGACTGTTTTACATAGTGGTTGCACCGTTTTACAGTCCTACTTTAGCCTATATGGGTTCTAATTTCTTTCTTTCTTTCTTTCTTTCTTTCTTTCTTTCTTTCTTTCTTTCTTTCTTTCTTTCTTTCTTTTCTTTCTTTTCTTTCTTTTCTTTCTTTTCTTTCTTTCTTTCTTTCTTTTTTTAGAACAGAGTCTCCCTCTGTAGCCCAGGCTGGAGTGCAGTGGCATGGTCTTGGCTCACTGCAGCCTCCGCCTCTCGGGTTCAAGCAATTCTCTGCCTCAGCCTCCCAAGTAGCTTGGACTACAGGCGCCCGCCACCACGCCTGGCTAATGTTTGTATTTTTGGTAGTGACAGGGTTTCACCACATTGGCCAGGTTGGTCTTGAACTCCTGACCTCAGGTGATTCACCCACCTCGGCCTCCCAAAGTGCCGAGATTACAGGCATGAGCCACTGCATCCGGGCGTGGGTTCTAAATTCTTAATATTCTCATCAACATTTATTGCTGTCTTTTTAATTTTAGCCTGTAATCCCAGCTACTAGGGCGACTGAGGTGGTAGCATCGCTTGAGCCCAGGAAGCTGAGGCTGCAGTGAGCCAAGATTGCACCACTGCACTCCAGGCTAGGTGATGAAGTGAGACTTCATCTCAAAAAAAAAAAAAAGGAAGTAATGGCAAAAACTGGAATTATTTTGCACCAACTTAAATATTTAGATCTTTAATACCTTTGGAAAGTTTTTTATATATAGTTTGTGTGTGTGTGTGTGTATATATACACACATATATATATACACACACATATATACACACATATATATGAATGATTTTATATATATATATATATATATATATATGAATGATATATATATATATATATGAATGAATGAATGAGATGGAGTCTCACTCTGTCACCCAGGCAGGAGTGCAGTGGTGCCATTTTGGCTTATGGCAGCCTCCGCCTCCGGGGTTCAAGTGATTCTTGTACCTCAGCCTCCCGAGTTGCTGGGATTACAGGCACTCGCCACCATGCCCGGATTTTTTGTCTTAATTCATGAAGGATGAATTAAGTCTGCAGTTGTTCTTTTTCCCTTTTTCTTTCCAGTTTTTTTTTTTGTTTGTTTGTTTGTTTTTGAGACACAGTCTCACTCGGTTGTCCAGGCTGGAGTGCGGTGGCAGTATCTTGGCTCCCTGTAACCCATCTCCCTGGTTCAAGCGATTCCGGTGCCTCAGCTTCCCAAGTAGCTAGGATTACAGGTGTGTGACACCACACCTGGTTAATTTTTGTATTTTTAGTAGAGACGAGGTTTCACCGCATTGGTTAGGTTGGTCTCAAAACTCCTGACCTCAGGTGAACCGCCCACCTAAGCCTTCCAAAGTGCTGAGATTACATGCATGAGCCACCAAGTCTGGCCTAAGTCTGAATTTTTTTTTTTTTTTTTTTGAGACGGAGTTTCGCTCTTGTTGCCCAGGCTGGAGTGCAATGGTGCGATCTTGGCTAACCGCAACCTCCGCCTCCCACGTTCAAGCAATTCTGCCTCAGCCTCCCGAGTAGCTGGGATTGCAGGCATATACCACCACGCCTGGCTAATTTTGTATTTTTGTTAGAGATGGGGTTTCTCCGTGTTGAGACTGGTCTCGAACTCCTGACCTCAGGTGATCCGCCTGCCTCGGCCTCCCAAAGTGCTGGGATTACAGGTGTGAACCACTGCACCCGGCCGAATATATTTTTTTTTTTTTAAATGGAGTCTCGCTCTGTGGCCCAGGCTGGAATGCAGCGGTGTGATCTTAGCTCACTGCAACCTCTGCCTCCCTGGCTCAAGCGATTCTCCTGCTTCAGCCTCCTGAGTACCTGGGACCACAGGTGTGCACCACCATGCCTGAATAATTTTTTTGTGTTTTTGTAGAGATGGAGTTTCACCATGTTGGCCAGGCTGATCTTGAACTACTGACCTCAGGTGATGTGCCTGCCTCCGCCTTCCCAAGTGCTGGGATTACAGGCATGAGCTACTGTACCCGGCTAAGTGTACAGTGTTCTTGTGATGTCTTTGTCTGGTGTTGGTATCAGGGTAATACTGTCTTCAAGATTACCCTTGAATGAGCTTTACTTCATTTTTTAATGTGTTTTTTTTTCTTTTCTTTTGTTTTTTGTTTTTGAGACAGAGTTTCACTCTGTCGCACAGGCTGGAATCCACACTCTAGGCTCGCTGCAGCCTCCACCTCCCAGGTTCAAGAGATTCTCCTGTGTCAGCCTCTTGAGTAGCTGGGGTTACAGGCACGTGCCACGACGCCCGGCTGATTTTTTTGTATTTTTAGTAGTGACGGGCTTTCACCATGTTGGCCAGGCTGGTCTCGAACTCCTGACATCAAGTGACCTGCCTTCCTCAGCCTCCCAAAGTGTTGGGATTACAGGAGTGAGCCACTGTGCCCCGCCTGCAATTACTTCTTAAGTTCTCAATTAAAAGAGAGTTTATCAAGGACTTTTTTTGGTAATTTTGCATTTTGAAAATTGCTAACATTAACTGGGACAGCCCTTTTATTTATTTATTTGTCACTCAGTTGTTTTTTTG
The DNA here is from genome assembly GCF_000001405.40 of Homo sapiens. Lineage (NCBI taxonomy): Eukaryota > Metazoa > Chordata > Mammalia > Primates > Hominidae > Homo > Homo sapiens. The sequence continues at coordinate 177,160,739 of NC_000005.10, forward strand.
AGTTGCCTACTATGTCCCAGGCACTGGTAAGATAGGAGTATCATTGTACCTGAGGCAGGGCAACATGTGCTTGCTTGAGAGGAGCATGATCTAGGATTATAAGGACTGCAACCTCCCCTTCCCAGGTTGAAGCAGTTCTCATGCCTCAGCCTCCCAAGTAGCTGGGACTACAGCCATGAGCCACCACGCCCAGCTAATTTTTGTGTTTTTAGTAGAGATGAGGTTTCCCCATGTTGGCCAGGCTAGTCTCAACTTCTGGACCTCAGGTGATCTGCCCACTTCAGCCTCCCAAAGTGCTGAAATTACAGGAGTAATTTTATTCTCCCAAAGCTGCTGCTTTGGGAGAATAAAAAGTTGAGTATGGGCCAGGCATGGGGGCTGATGCCTGTGATCGCAGCACTTTAGGAGACTGAGGTGGGAGTCTAGCTTGAGCCCAGTAGTTTGAGACAAGCCTGGGGAACATAGGGAGATCCGGCCTCTACAAAAAAAATAAATTAGCTGGGTGGAGTGGCATGTGCCTGTGGTCCCAGCTACTTGGGTGGTTGAGGTGGGAAGATATCTGAGCTCAGGAGTTCCAGGCTGCAGTGAGCTCTGATTATGCACTCCAGCCTGGGTGACAGAGTGAGATGCTGTCTCAAAAAAAAAAATTCAGTGTGGCGTGATTAGGCTGGGAGGGTGGGGCAGGAAGGGATGACATTGGAGGGGTAGGCAAGGTGTAGATAGACCTTTCCCTATATTCTCCTATTTTTAAAAAATTTTTTTCTAAATAGAGATAGGGTCTTACTATTTTGCCCAGGCTGGGTCTCAAACTCCTGGGCTCAAGTAATCCTTCCATCTAGGCCTCTATTTTTTGTGCAAACGATTGAAATTATATTTTTTTTACCTGAATTTTTCCTGTGAACATTGGGTTATTTATAAACCTGTTTTCTGTTTCTTTCTTTCTTTTTTTTTTTTTTTGTTTTTGTTTTTTGAGATAGAGTCCAGCCTGGAGTGCTGTGGCATGATCTTGGCACACTTGCAACCTCTGCCTCCTGGGTTCAGGTGATTCTCCTCCTCTAGCCTCCTCCACGCCTGGCTAATATTTGTATTTTTAGTAGAGATGGGGTTTCACCATGTTGGCCGGGCTGTTCTTGAACTCCTGGTTTCAACAGATCCACCTGCCTCAGCCTGCCAAAGTGCTGAGATTACAGGTGTGAGCCACTGTTCTAGGCACTTGTTTCTGTTTCTTAATTTTGGCTGCTACTCAGTGGGAAAAAGCACAGATTGAATCTAATTGAGGCCGGGCGCTGTGGCTCACTCCTGTAATTTCAGCACTTTGGGAGGCTGAGGTGGGCAGATCACCTGAGATCCAGAGTTCGAGACTAGCCTGGCCAACATGGGGAAACCTCATCTCTACTAAAAACACAAAAATTAGTTGGGCGTGGTGGCTCATGGCTGTAGTCCCAGCTACTCGGGAGGCTGAGGCATGAGAATTGCTTCAACCCGGGAGGTGGAGGTTGCAGTGAGCTGAGATCAGGACACTGCCCTCCAGGTTGGGCAAGAGAGTGAGACTCGGTCTTAAAAAAAAAAAAAAATCTAGTTGAAAAATGTCATCGGGTCTTTCCAAATTTTTACTAGGAATTTGTTAAAATTAACCAGGCTGGAAGTCATTATAGTTTGTTTGTTTGTTTGTTTGAGATGGGGGTCTCACTCTGTCACGCAGGCTGGAGTTCAGTGGTAGGATCTCGGCTCACTGCAACCTCTGCATCCCAGATTCAAGCGATCCTCTCACCTCTGCCTCATGAGTAGTTGGAACCACAGGCATGTGTCACCATGCTTTTGTAGAGACAGGGTTTCTTTCGCCCTATTGGCTAGGCTGGTCTCAAACTTGTGAGCTCAAGCGATCCGCCCACCTTGGCCTCCCAAAGTGCTGGGATTACAGGCATGAGTTACCTTGCCTTGCCCATTATAGCTTTTTTGAGGCTGGGTCTTACTCTCTGTCATGCAGGCTGGACTGCAGTGGTGTGATCTAAGCTCACTGCCTCCTGGGCTCAAGCAGTCCTCCCACCTCAGCCTCCTGAGTAGCTGGCACAGGCGCTACCTCACCCATCTAATTTTTTATTTTTTTTAGAGATGGGGTTTTGCCATGTTTGCCCAGGCTGGTCTAGAATTCATGAGCTCAAGTGATCTACCTGCCTCGGCCTCCCAATGTGCTGGGATTACAGACATGAGCCACTATGTTCAGCCATACCTGGCTAATTTTTAAAAAATGTTTTCAAGAGACAGGGTCTCCCTGTGTTGCCCAGGTTGGTCTCAAGTTCCTGGGATTACTGCTGGCCTTCAAAAGTAAATGTGAAATAATTAGTTAATTTCTCCCTCAGTTGACAAATAATGCCAAAAGTGATAAAGATTAATGAAATGTCTCTTTTTTTTTTTTTTTTTTGAGACGGAGTCTCGTTCTGTTGCCAAGTCTGGAATGCAGTGGCACGATCTCGGCTCACTGCAACGTCCACCTACTGGGTTCAAGTGATTCTCCTGCCTCAGCCTCCCGAGTAGCTGGGACTACAGGCACGCATCACCATGCCCGGCTAATTTTTGTATTTTTAGTAGAGACGGGGTTTCACTATGTTGGCCAGGCTGGTCTTGAACTCCTGACCTCATGATCCACCCACCTTGGCCTCCCAAAGTGCTGGGATTACAGGCATGAGCCACCGCGCCCAGCCATGAAATTTCTTACGTAGAAAGGCAGCTTGGGATTGTAGAAAGAATGTAGGCTTTGGAGTTGGACAGGCCTCCATTTGAGACCATACTTGAGTCCCGTGCTTGCCTTAGACAAAGAACCTCTCAACCTTAGTTTTTAATCTATAAGGTGTTTTGAAAATTAATTCCTAGTTCAGTACATGGCACATGGTAGGTACCTGCTGCTATCCATAATTCTCTTAGTTAATATATTCGGTGCCACATGCCAGGCAGCCAGGATCTGTACTAAGCACCTAATAAGTATTATCTCATTTAATCCTCAAAAGAACCCCACCTGAGTTGCTAGACAGCCATTATTTCAGGGTTACACATTAGGAAATTGAAGCTTAGAGAGATTTAAGTGGTTAGCCAAGTGATGGTGCTGGTATTCCAACTAAGGTCATCTGCTTTCAGAGCATTTACTTTCTGTTAGGCTGCCTCTCCTGTTGCAAAGTACTAAGAACACAACTACATAATGTATTTTTAGTGGATTCTTGTCTTTTTGTAAATAGAAGGTTAAAATGAGAGGAATTTTTTTTTTGTTTGGGAGACGTGGTCTCGCTCTGATGAGAGCTAGAAATTTGATTACTTGTATTTCTGGTCTGCATAAAAATTTGGCCTAAAAACATCAATAGAAAGGCAAGTGTCATCTGCAAATCTGTCCCATCCTGTTCTTCACAGGAAAATGTAACCTTTTTTTTTTTTTTTTCTTTTTTTGAGATGGAGTCTAGCTCTGTTGCCCAAGCTGGAGTGCAATGGCATGGTTTCCCGCTCACTGCAACCTCTGCCTTCTGGGTTCTAGCAGTTCTCCTGCCTCAGCCTCCTGAGTAGCTGGGATTACAGGCGCCTGCCACCATGCCTGGCTAATTTTTGTATTTTTAGTAGAGACAGGGTTTCACCATGTTGGCCAGGCTGGTCTTTAACTCCTGACCTCAGGTGATCCGCCTGCCTCGGCCTCCCAAAGTGCTGGGATCACAGGTGTGAGCCACTGCGCCCGGGCTCAAAATGTAACGTCTGTCTAGTATGAGGATTTATTTCCTTGTCTGACTTCTGAGTTGTAATCGTTTATTAACAATCACATTGTAAGTTTATCTATGAAGTAATAAAATGTTCTTTCTGTATATTATACTGGAAATGAATGCTTCATTCAAAAAATAGTTTTATCTTGGGAAGGTAGCCACTTTTTAAAAATTGAGGTAAAACGGCCAGGCACGGTGGCTCACGCCCATAATTCCAGCACTTTGGGAGGCCAAGGTGGGTGGAGATCACCTGAGGTCAGAAGTTCAAGACCAGCCTGGCCAATATGGTGAAACTCCATCTCTACTAAAATACAAAAATTAGACCGGCATGGTGGCAGGTGCCTGTAATCCCAGCTACTCAGGAAGCTGAGGCAGGAGAATCGCTTGAACCCAGGAGGTGGAGGTTACAGTGAGCCGAGATCCTGCCGCTGCATTGAAGCCTGGGTGAGAAGAGCGAAACTCTGTCTCATTAAAAAAAAAAAAAAAGAGGTAAAATTTAAATAACTTAAGGCTGATTGTATTGGCTTACACTTGTAATTCCAGCATTTTGGGAGACCAAGGCAGGAGGATCACTTGAACTCAGAAGTTTGAGACCAGCCTGGTCAACATAGGGAAACCTCATCTCCACAAAAAATAAAAAATAAAATATAAAAACTTCAAAATTAAATAAGTTACAGTTCACCATTGTAACCATTTTATTTTATCCTATTTATTTTGAGACAGTCTTGTTTTGTCACCCAGGCTGGAGTACAGTGGTGGGATCACAGCTCACTACAGCCTCCACCTTCCAGGTTCAAGTGATTCTTCTGCCTCAGCCTCTGTAACTGGGATTACAGGTGCTTGCCACCACACCCTGCTAATTTTTGTATTTTGATTAGAGACAGGGTTTCACCATGTTGGCCCGATTGGTCTCGAACTCCTGAGCTCAAGTGATCTGCCTGTCTTGGCCTCCCAAAATGAGCCACCGTGCCTGTCCCCTTAGTCTACTTTAAAATTCAATTTGCCTTTTTTTTAAATTGTAAGAATTCCTTATATATTTTGGATATTAAATCCTTAACTAGGGATATGATTCGCAAATTTTTTTCCCCCATTCTGTTTCTGTAGGCTCTTTGACATTCTTTTTCTTTCTCTTTTTGAGACAAGGTCTTACTCTGTTGCCCAGGCTAGAGTACAGTGGTGTGATCATAGCTTACTACAGCCTCGACTTCCCTGGGCTGAAGCAATCCTTACCTCCCACCTCAGCCTCCCAGGTAACCAGGACTACAGGTGTACACCACCATGCCTGGCAAATCACTGTTGTTGTTGTTGTTGTTGTTATAGCCATAGGCTCCCACTGTGTTGCCCAGGCTGGGCTCAAGCAATCTTCTAGCCTTCTAGCCTTGGCCTCCCGAAGTGGTGGGATTATGCGCATGATCGCTGCTCCCAGCCCACAATCTTTTTTTTTTTTTTTTTGAGATGGAGTCTCGCTCTGTCACCCAGGCTGGAGTGCGGTGGCGCAATCTCGGCTCATTGCAACCTCCGCCTCCCGGGTTCAAGCGATTCTCCTGCCTCAGCCTCCCGAGTGGCTGGGATTACAGGCACGTGCTGCCACGCCCAGCTAATTTTTGTATTTTTTTTTTAGAAGAGATGGGGTTTCACCATATTGGCCAGGATGGTCTCGAACTCCTGACCTCATGATATGCCCACCTTGGCCTCCCAAAGTGCCGGGATTACAGGCATGAGCCACCGCGCCTGGCCTCCCAGCCCACATTCTTGATAATTTTCTTTGCTTCTAAAAGTTTTGCTTTTAGGGTTGGGCAAGGTGGCTTATGCCTATAATCCTAGCACTTTGGGAGGCTGAGGTGGGCGGATCTCTTGAGCTCAGGAGTTCAAGAACACCCTGAGCAACATGGAAAAACCGTGTCTCTACAAAAAATGCAAAAATTAGCCAAGTGTGGTGGCATGCACCTGTAGTCTGAGCTACTGGGGAGGCTGTGACAGGAGGATCACTTGAATTGGACTGGAGGCTGCAGTGAGTGAAAATGGTACCACTGCACTCCAGCCTGGGTAATAGAGTGAGATGCTGTCTGAAAAAAAAAAAAAGTTTTAGTTTTTTTGGGTGGGGGGATTTTAACTTCACCTATTTTTTTTGTTGTTGCTCAGTTTTGTTGTTCAATCTATGAATCCTTTGCCAGATCTGAAATTATGAACCCTTATCCCTAAATTTTCTTATAAAAGTTTTGTAGTTTTAGCTCTTATATTTAGGCCCTTGATAACATTTTGAGTTACTTTTTTTTTTTTTTTTTCCCTGAGATGGAGTCTCGTTCTGTCGCCCAGGCTGTAGTGGCGCGATCTCGGCTCACTGACATGGCTGCTTCCTGGGTTCAAGCAATTCTCTTGCCTCAGCCTCCTGAGTAGCTGGGGTTACAGTCACGTGCCACCATGCCCAGCTAATTGTTTTGTGTAATTTTAGTAGAGATGGGGTTTCAGCATTTTGGCCAGGGTGGTCTTGAACACCTGACCTCAAGTGATCTGCCCACCTCGGCCTCCCAAAGTGCTGGGATTACAGGTGTGAGCTACTGGGCAAGGCTGTGCCAGACCTTGAGTTACTTTTTATATATTGAATGAGGCATAAGCCAAAGTTTATTAGGTGATCCAGTTTTCTCAGTACCATGTGTTGAAGAGACTATTATTCTTTTTCCATTGAATTCAAAAGAGACTAATTTTTTAACATTCCTTTGAAATGCTATTCTTTTTCCATTGACTATTGTTTTCTCCGTGTCAAAAATTTATTGAATATGGCCGGGTGTGGTGGCTCACACCTGTAATCCCAGCACTTTGGGAGGCCGAGGTGGGTGGATCACCTGAGGTCAGGAGTTTGAGACCAGTCTGTCCAACATGGTGAAACCCATTTCTACTAAAAATACAAAATTAGCCAGGCTTGGTGGCGCATGCCTGTAATCCCAGCTACTTGGGAGGCTGAGGCAGGAGAATCGCTTGAACCTGGGAGGCAGAGGTTGCGGTGAGCCGAGATCGCGCCATTGCACTCCAGCCTGGGCAACAAGAGCAAAACTCTATCTCAAAAAAAAAAAAATATATTTGTGAGGCTTTATTTCTGAAGTTTTAATTTTATTCCATTGGTCTATATTTCTACTCGTAGGCTACTAGTACACACTGTTTTTGATTACTGTAGCTGAATTCTGCTTCTGCGAGTTCTTCAGTCTTATTTTATTTTCCAGTACAGATGGTCTCAGATATACGATGGTTTTACTTAGAGTTTTTGAACTTCATGGTGGGCTTATCTGGACGTAAGCACATAGTAAGTCGAGCATCTGCAGTTAACAATGGTTCAACTTAACGATATTTTCGACTTATGATGGGTTAATCAGGATGTAACCCCATTGTGAGTTGAGGAGCATCTGTATTGTTTTGGCTGTTTAGGCTTCCTACAGTTGCATATGATTTTTACTTTTTGGCGGAGGTGTCCGGTATTGAATGAACCTAGGGCCTCATGCATAGAGTTCCATATGAATTTGAGGTTAGCTTTTTCATTTCTCTAAATAGGCCATTGGAATTTTCATCGGGATTCCACTGAATCTGTAAATGATTTTAGGGAGTATTGCCATTTTAACAACACAGTATTAAAAATTCCAAGTAATGAACTTGGGATGTCTTCCCATTTCTTTAGGTCTTTAATTTCCTTTCAATAATGTTTTGTAATTTTCACTGTATAAGACTTTTCACAGCCTAGGTTAAATTTATTCATAGGTACAAACAGTTGTTAATTCCCACAGTTTTACTTAATGATTTTTTAACTTTATGATAGGGTTTACTGGAGGATTGAATGCATTTTCAACTTATGATATTTTTGACTTATGATGGGTTTGTTGGGACTTAGCCCTGTTGTAATTTGAGAAGCATCTATCTGTGTGTCTTTCTTTTGGATCCTGTTAAGTGGGATTTTTTGCTCAGTTTCCTTTTTGGATTGTTCATTGCTTTTTTTTTTTTTTTTTCTTTTTTCCGGAGACAGAGTCTCACTTTGTCGCCCAGGCTGGAGTGCAATGGCGTGATCTTGGCTCACTGCAGCCTCTGCCTCCCGGGTTCAAGTGATTTCTCCTGCCCCACCCTCCCAAGTAGCTGGGATTACAGGTGCCCACCACCACGCCCAGCTCATTTTTGTATTTTTAGTAGAGATGGAGCTTCACCATGTTGGTCAGGCTGGTCTCGAACTCCTGATCTCAGGTGATCCACCTGCCTTGGCCTCCCAAAGTGCTGGGATTGCTGGCATGAGCCACCATGCCCGACCAGTGTGTTTATACCTGTAGCGTAAAAATCCATGCTTCAGGATTTGATGAGTCTTGGAAAGCATTTTCTGCATCCTGCTGGTTGTGGAAGCGTTTTTCCTGCAAAAAAGTAGTTGAGATGCTTGAAGAAGTGGTAGTCAGTTGCAGAGAGGTCAGGTCAATATGGAGGATGAGGCAAAACTTCGTAGCCTAATTTGTTCAACTTTTGAAGCATTGTTTGTGCAACGTGTAGTTGGGCATTGTCATGAATAATTGGGCCCTTTTAGTTGACCAATGCCGGCTGCAGGCACTGCAGTTTTCCTTGCATCTCATTGATTTGCTGAGAATACTTCTCAGCTGCAGTGGTATTCAGAAAGCTGTAGTGGATCAACCAGCAGCAGACCACCAAGCAGTGACCATGACCTTTTTTTGGTGCAAGTTTGGTTTGGGAAGTGCTTTGGAGCTGCTGCTTAAGTCTATCCACTGAGCTGGTCATTGCTGGTTGTCAGATAAAATCCACTTTTCATTGCATGCCACAGTCCGATTGAGAAATGGTAAACGACGACTTTTTTTTTAGTTTTTGCTCAGCTGATGAGGCACCCACTTATTGAGCTTTTTCACTTTTCCAATTTGCTTCAAATGCTGAACGACCGTAGAATGGTCGACGTTGAGCTCTTCGACAACTTCTTGGGTAAGTTGTAATAGGATCAGCTTCGATGATTGCTCTCAATTGGTCGTTGTCAACTTCCCATGGCCGGCTACTACTCCTCATCTTCAAGGGTCTCGCCTGCTTCGCAAAACTTCTTGAACCACCACTGCACTGTACGTTTGTTTGAAGTTCCTGGGGCAAACGTGTTGTTGATGTTGTGAATTGTCTCCACTGCTTTATGACCCATTTTGAACCTGAGTAAGAAAATTGCTCAAATTTGCTTTTTGTCTAGCATCATTTCCATAGTGTGAAATAAACATAAAATAAACAAGTAATAAGTCTTTAGCAAAAATAACATAAAGCAAGAAAGTGCCCATTAAAATGATATATAACATAACCACATTTATTTAAGAATGTATTCCAATATCAAATTGCAAATTCCAACAGTGCAAAAACTGCAATTACTTCTGTACCAACCTAATAGTTTGCTTAGTGTTTTTATCATGAAAAGGTATTAGATTTTTAAAATGTTTTTTCTGTCTGTTGAGGTTATCATGTGTTATTTTGCTTTGTTGTATTATTGTGGTGTATAATTTTTTTTGAGACGGGGTCTTGCTCTGTCGCCCAGGCTGGAGTGCAGTGGCGCGATCTCTGCTCACTGCAAGCTCCACATCTCGGGTTCACGCCATTCTCCTGCCTCAGCCTCCCGAGTAGCTGGGACTACAGGCGCCCGCCACCACGCCCGGCTAATTTTTTTTTGTATTTTTAGTAGAGATGGGGTTTCACCGTGTTAGCCAGGATGGTCTTGATCTCCTGACCTCGTGATCTGCCCGCCTCCGCCTCCCAAAGTGCTGGGATTACAGGTGTGAGCCACCGCGCCCAGCTGTGGTGTATAATTTATTTTTTTTTCTTTTTTTGGTGGGAGTCAGTACCCTTTTTGTTTTTGTAAAGTATGCATGATTTTATTTAATTTTTTTTTTTAGAGACGGAGTCTCGCTCTGTCGCCCAGGCTGGAGTGCAGTGGCGTGATCTCGGCTCACTGCAACCTCCGCCTCCCGGGTTCAAGCAATTCTCCTGCCTCAGCCTCCTGAGTAGCTGGGACTACAGGCGCATGCCACCATGCCCGGCTAATTTTTTTTGTATTTTAGTAGAGACGGGGTTTCACCATGTTGCCCAGGCTGGTCTCCAACTCCTGAGCTCAGGCAATCCGCCTGCCTCAGCTTCCTGAAGTGCTAGGATTACAGGCGTGAGCCACTGCGCCTGGCCAACTTCATTTTTTATTTTTTTGGAAAGTGTACGTGACTTCCTATTCATCCATTTGGAAGTGTACAATTCAGTGCATTACATGTATTCACAGTGTTATATAATCATTTTCTATACCAAAGTTTTTCAATATCCCCAACATAAACTATCCATTAAATAGTAATTCCTAATAGTTCCCTATTCCTACTCCTTGGTAACCTAAATTCTTTCTCTCCCTTTGAATTTGCCTGTTTTATTTTAGATAATATAAGTAGTATCATATAATATTTATCTGTTTATATCTGGCTTATTAACATAAAGTGGAGCCAATTTTAGCACATTTTTGTCACTTCAAAATGAAACCTTCTTGCTTGATAATTTACCATGTTAAAAAAAAAAAAAAAGGAAACCGGGCGGGGCGTGGTGGCTCAGGCCTGTAATCCCAGGACTTTGGGAGGCCGAGGTGGACAGATCACAAGGTCAAGAGATTGAGACCGTCCTGGCCAACGTGGTGAAACCGTCTCTAATAAAAATACAAAAATTAGTAGTGCGCCTGTAGTCCCAGCTACTCAGGAGGCTGAGGAAGGAGAATCGCTTGAACCAGGGGGGCAGAGATTGCAGTGAGCCAAGATCACGCCGCTGCACTCCAGCCTGGCGACAGAGCGAGACTCCGTCTCCAAAAAAAAAAAAGGAAACCTTGTACGCTTTAGTTACCATCCTCCTACACCTTAACTTCCCTGCCCCTAAGTAACCATTATACTATTGCCTGTCTCTACATCCCTCTATTTGAGACTCATATGAATGAAATTATATAATATGTAGACTTTTGTTACTGTTTTTTTCTATTAGCATGATGTTTTGCAGGTTTATCCTTATTTAGCATGTATCAGCGGCCACATAATACTTCATTGTATGGATATTTCACATTTTGTTATCCATTCATCAGTTGATGGTCATCATCCCAAACAAGAACTCTGTACTTATTGAATGATTCTCCTTTCCTCCCTTTGTCTATTTTGGCCATTTTGTAGTAACTCTATTTGCCTATCCTAGGTATTTTATTTAAGTGGAGTCATACAGTATTTGTCTATTTGTGTCTGGTGTATTTCACTTAGCATAATGCTGTCAAGGTTTTTGCATGTTGTAGTGTGTATCAGGACTTCTTTTTCATGGTTGAATGATCTTCCATCTTGTAAATAATAACACATTGTATTATCCATTTGTGATGGACATTTGAGTTGATTTCACCTTTTCGACAATGTAAATAATGTCGCTATGAACATGGGTGTGCAAATATCTGTTTGAGTCTCTGCCTTCAGTTCTTTTTGGTATATGCTTAGCAGCAGAATAGCTGGGTCACATGGTAATTCCATACTTAACTCTTAGAGGAAGTCCGCCCCTTCCTTTCTTAAGTCTTTGCTGTATACCTTTGAAGGGTTTCCCTAGTTTATATAATTGCTTGTGATAGTTTTTCCCCTATTTATTGACTGTTTTGGGGGAGATACTGGCCCTTGAAGTTCATGACGACTCCATTTCCTCTGATGTCACTATAAACACTTTTGACTGTGGCAGCCTTTGCTAAAAATATTTTTGGATCCTGGATGTGGTAGTTCATGCCTATTATAATCCTAGCACTTTGGGAGGCCAAGGTGGGAGAATTTCTTGAGTTGGGAGTTAGAGACACTTTTGGAGTTTGTTTTTTTATAATTGTCTTTTTTTTTTCCATCTCAGTCTTAAAGTTATTTCTTCAAAGACATAATTGTGCTTAGGCTTTGATGCTTTCATCAGGTAAAATGAAATAAAGACTGAATCTGATGAATAAATAAAACTAGTAGATAACAGCTTCTAAGTGTGACTTTGAAGTAACATGAATGGTTTTTATCATATGATACATAGAAATGACTTCTTAGTGGTAATATATGGCAGGATTTGGCAAACTAGCCTGCAGTCCAAATATGGCTAAAAGCTGTTTTTGTACAACCAGTGAGCCAACAATAGTTTTTACATTTGTGAATCGCTGAGGCAAAATCCAAAGGAAAATATTTTGAGGCCGGGTATGGTGGTTCACGTATATAATCCCAGCATTTTGAGAGGTTGAGGTGGGAGGATGGCTTGGGCCCAGGACTTGGAGACCAGCCTAGGCAACATAGTGAGATCCTGTCTCTAAAAATTTTTTTTAAAAACTAGCTGGGCATGGTGGTACATACCTTGTAGTCCCTGCTAGTTGGGAGGCTGAGGTGGGAGGATCACTTGAGTCTGGTATGTTGAGGCTGTAGTGAGCTGAGATCCTGCCACTGTACTCTAGCCTGGGTAACAGAGCGAGACCCTGTCTCAAAAAAAAAAAAAAAAAAAAAGAATATTTTGTATCATGTTAGAATTAAATTAAGCCGGGCGCGGTGGCTCACGTGTAATCCCATCACTTTGGGAGGCCTAGGTGGGCAGATCACGAGGTCAGGAGATCGAAACCATCCTGGCTAACACAGTAAAACCTGTCTCTACTAAAAATACAAAAAATTAGCCGGGCGTGGTGGCAGGTGCCTGTAGTCCCAGCTACTCGGGAGGCTGAGGCAGGAGAATGGCGTGAACCCGGGAGGCGGAGCTTACAGTGAGCCGAGATAGCGCCACTGCACTCCAGCCTTGGCGAAAGAGCTAGACTCTGTCTCAAAAAAAAAAAAAAAAAAAAGAATTATATGAAATTAAAACTTCAGTAACTACAAGAAGTCTATTGGAATGTTGCCACTAATATGTTGTCTGGCTGCTTTTGTGCTGTGATGGGAGGATTGAGTAATTTCGAGTGTATGTCTTACATTGCAGAATCTAAAATATTTACTATCTGGCTTTTTTTTTTTTTTTTTTTTTTTTGCGACGGAGTTTCACTCTTGTTGCCGAGGCTGGAGTGCAATGGCACGATCTCGGCTCACCGCAACCTCTGCCTTCTGGGTTCAAGCAATTCTCCTGCCTCAGCCTCCTGAGTAGCTGGGGTTACAGGCACGTGCCACCACACCCAGCTAATTTTGTATTTTTAGTAGAGACGGGATTTCCCCATGTTGGTCAGGCTGGTCTCGAACTTTTGACCTAACATATCTGCCCGCCTGGGCCTCCCAAAGTGCCGGGATTACAGGCATGAGCCACTGCACCTGGCCTACTATCTGGCTCTTATACAGAAAAAAGTTTATCGACGTGTGTGATTGTCACAGGTTATTATTGATTGGTCTTCTGAGAACAATAGTCATTCATATGTGTTCTAATGCGACTGCCAAAATATTATTTCATAAGCACATTTAATATGTTAACTTTTAATGGATGAAGCAGTAATTTGGTAGTTAAATGAACATTAATTCAACTTGCTTTGGTTAGTGGGAAGGATATTTTAGTGTTATTTTCATATTCACATTATCCTGCTGGTCAGCATTCCTTTTTATTCTCCTCCTTGGTCGTCAGAAAAGAGGTTAAAAAGGCCGGGCGCGGTGGCTCACGCCTGTAATCCCAGCACTTTGGGAGTCCGAGGCGGGTGGATCACGAGGTCAAGAGATCGAGACCATCCTGGCCAACATGGTGAAACCCCGTCTTTATTAAAAATACAAAAATTAGCAGGGCGTGGTGGTGCCCCAGCTACTTGGGATGCTGAGGCAAGAGAATCACTTAAACGCGGGAGGCGGAGGTTGCAGTGAGCCGAGATCGCGCCACTGCACTCTGGCCTGGGCAACAAGAGCGAGACAGATTACAGGCGCACGCCACCTTGCCAAGCTAATTTTTGTGGTTTTAGTAGAGACAGGGCTTCGCCATGTTGGCCAGGCTGGTCTCGAACTCCCAACCTCAGATGATCGCCTCCCACCTTGGCCTCCCCAAGTGCTGGGATTACAAGCGTGAGCCACTGCACCCGGCCAGAAGTTATTATATAATCAATGCACCATTGCCCAAAATACTTATCTGAATTTTTTTTTTTTGACACGGAGTCTTGCTCTTGTCACCCAGGCTGGAGTGCAATGGCGTGATCTTGGCTCACTGCAACCCCTGCCTCCTGGGTTCAAGCAATTCTTCTGCCTCAGCCTCCTGAGTAGCTGGGATTACAGGTGCCCACTACAACGCCCGGCTAATTTTTCTTTGTATTTTTGGTAGAGATGGAGTTTCACCATGTTGGCCAGGCTGGTATGAAACTCCTGAGCTCAGGTGATCTGCCCACCTCGGCCTCCCAAAGTGCTGGGATTACAGGTATGAGCCACCGTGCCTGGCCTTATCTGACTTTTTTTTTTTTTTTTTTTTGGGACAGTCTCGCTCTGTCACCCAGGCTGGAGTGCAGTGGCGCTATCTTGGCCCACTGCAAGCTCTGCCTCCTGGGTTCACGCCATTCTCCTGCCTCAGCCTCCCGAGTAGCTAGGACTACAGGCACCCGCCACCACGCCCGGCTAATTTTTTGTATTTTTAGTAGAGACGGGGTTTCACCGTGTTAGTCAAGATGGTCTCGATCTCCTGACCTCGTGATCCACTCGCCTCAGCCTCCCAAAGTGCTGGGATTATAGGCGTGAGCCACTACACCCGGCCTGACTTTTAAGCCATTGTATTTATTATATCATTGATTTAGTTTTGGGCAAATGTGGTCACAGAAGATTTGGACAAATGTTGTCACAAAAGGTTATGCTTAATTTTCCGTAATTTATTTCGGCAGTGAGTAGGAAGAAAATTTGAATGCGTATATGTTACAGACAGTCTTTTTGAGGCTGGGGACGTGGCTCACACCTGTAATCTCAGCACTCTGTGAGGCCAGTGCAGGAGGATCGCTTGAACCCTTGAGTTTGAAACCAGCCTCGGCAACATGGCAAAACCTCATCTCTAAAAAAAAAAATTTTAAATTTAGCCAGGCTGGTGGCATGTGTCATTAGTCCCAGCGACTTGGTGGGGCTGAGGTGGGAGGATCACTTGAGCTCAATAGGTATAATTTTCAGTGAGCTGTGATTAGGCCACAGCACATTAGCCTGAGTGACAGAGTGAGAATCTGCCTTAAAAAAAATAAAGTATTTGAAAGCCTTCTTCAGAGGTTATTCTTGGAAAAGCAAATAATATTATAGCCTTGAGTATAATAGTGTCATATCATTTAAGCCATATGGAAAATAATACTTTGTATGAAAATAGTAACATCTAGAGTAGTTTTATTAATAAAATACTCTCCAGATGGCAAGTGATAGATACATCCTGTTTCGATTTTACAACAAAGCATGTTTGTGATATAAACATTATTCGATTGCAAAAATTCTTTTTTTTTTTTTTGAAATGGAGTCTTGCCCTGTCACCCATGTTGGAGTGCAGTGGCGCCATCTCGGCTCACTGCAACCTCTGCCTCCTGGGTTCAAGTGATTCTCCTGCCTCAGTTTCCTGAGTAGCTGGGATTATAGGCACATGCCAACATGCCCAGCTAATTTTTGTAGTTTTAGTAGAGACAGGGTTTTACCATGTTGACCAGGCTGGTCTCGAACTCCTGACCTGAAGTGATCTACCTGCCTCGGCCTCCCAAAGTGCTGGGATTGCAGGCCTTAGCCACTGCGCCCGGCCCGATTGCAAAAATCGTAACATTTCAGTGACTTCAGTGTTTTGAAATTGAGGGATTAAAATCTAAGATCTAAATATTCGATTCTTCTTCCTTTTTTTTTTTTGAGATGGAGTTTCACGCTTTTTGCCTAGGCTGGAGTGCAATGGCACGATCTCGGCTCACTGCAACATCCACCTCCCAGGTTCAAGCAATTTTTGAATCCCATAGTGCTGTGTTGGGATTACAGGTGTGATCCACCATGCCTGGCTATTCTTTTTTTTTTTTTTCTTCTTTTTAAAGAGACAGTATCTTGCTCTGTGGCCCAGGCTAGAGTGCCGTGGCAGTCATGGCTTACTGCAGTCCTGAACTCCTGTGCTTAAGCAATCCTCTCACTTCAGCCTTCTGAGTAGCTAGTACCACAGGCACACACCACCACACCCGACCCCATTATTGTTCTATTGATGTTTATAACTGTATAATTAGTATATAATCTGCATTTACCAGAAATCTGTAAAATCTGGTTATGTCATTACTTTTCCTGATTATTGGTACAGTTAAAACCTAGAAAGGCTCATTCATATAAGGGATACATTGTGTTGGAAGAGCTTATAACAACTTTGTTTTATATTTTGCCAAAAAGCCTTTGGATTCTTTAGCTCGAGGGTGTAGTCCAGATTCCAGGTCCAACTTCTAGAGTTCTGGAGGAGTGGCAGATATCCATTTCTTGGGGATCAGTCAGAAGTGAGCTCATTAATTAATTGGAAACTTTTTGTTTTGGATGTTTCAGTGGTAAATGAAAACAATACCCCCTACTAGAATTATTGTGAGGATTCTGTTACATTATGTGTGAAAGAACTGATTACAGGTGTCACAAATTACTTTCTTACTCATTAATTTATTAATTATGTGCTATGCACTGTTTTGTTTTGTTTTTGAGACAGGGTCTCTGTTGTCCAGGCTGGAGTATAGCTGTGCAGTGTTTTTAAGTGCTGGGAATACTGTGATGAGCAGAATAGACATTGTGTCTGCCCTCATGGATCCTTCAGTAAAGTGAGAAAGGCAAACATCAAACAAGGATTGGGCCTGGCACAGTGGCTAATGCCTGTAATCCCAGCACTTTGGGAGGCTGAGGTGGGTGGGTCACTTGAGGTCAGGAGTTCAAGACCAGCCTTGCCAACCTGGTGAAACCCCCTCTCTACTAAAAATACAAAAATTAGCCAGGTGTGGTGGTGCATGTCTCCCAGCTGCTCGGGAGGCTGAGGCAGGAGAATCGCTTGAACCCAGGAGGCAGAGGTTGCAGTGAGCCGAGATTGTGCCACTCCACTCCAGTCTGGGTGACAGAGCAAGACTCTTTCTCCCAAAAACAACAAAAAACAAAACAAAACAAAAAAACAGCAACAACAACAAGGATTGCTTGAGCCTGGGAGGTTGAGGCTGGAGTGAGCGATGACCATGCCACTGCACTCCAGCCTGGGTGACAGATTCATTCATACCCTGTCTTTCAAAGAAAAAAATATCAGTATTAGATTGTATGTTCACAATTATATGTGTGAGAACCTATATGTATGGGAACTCTTTGTGCCAACCAGTGCCCAGAGTTTTCTCTCTGCTCTGATTACTCTCTCAACTCTCTCAAATTGCCTTTTAAAGAAATCTTTATTTCTGTTAAGATTTTAGAGCTATTTGTTTTTGGTTTTTGCTTAATTTTTTGCATATTCTGTTAATGCAAAAAATTGCATTAAATTATTATTATTATTTTTGAGATAGAATCTTGCTCTGTCGCCCAGGCTGGTGTGCAGTGGAGCAGTTTTGGCTCACTGCAACCTCCACCTTCCGGGTTCAAGTGATTCTCATACTACAACCTCCTGAGTAGCTGGAACTACAGGCATGCGCTGCCACGCCTGGCTAATTTTTTTGTATTTTTAGTAGAGACAGTTTCATCATGTTGGCCAGGCTGGCCTCAAACTCTTGGGCCTCAAGTGATCTGCCCACCTTGGCCTGCTAAAGTGCTTGAATTATAGATGTGAGCCCCACTCCTGGCTGCATTAAAATATTTTAATAGACATTTGATTGATTGATTGATTGATTTATGAGATGGAGTTTTGCTGTTGTTGCCTAGGCTGGAGTGCAATGGCGGGATCTCGGCTCACCACAACCTCCGCCTCCCGGGTTCAAGTGATTCTCCTGCCTCAGCCTCCTGAGTAGCTGGGATTACAGGCATGCACCACCAAGCCTGGCTAATTTTGTATTTTTAGTAGAGATGGGGTTTCTCCATGTTGGTCGGGCTGGTCTTGAACTCCCGACCTTAGGTGATCCACCTGCCTCGGCCTGCCAAAGTGTTGGGATTACAGGCGTAAGCCACCGCACCCGGCCTTTAATAGACATGTTTTAAATTTATAAGGATTAAGAAAAACCCCTAAAAATAAAAAACAAATTTATAATGATTTTATAGTTAAAAGGTTTTGTTGTTGAGACAGGGTCTTACCCTGTCACTGAAGCTAGAGTGCAGTGGAGTGATCACAGCTCACTGCATCCTCGACCTCCTCGGCTTAAGTGATCCTTGTTTAATGTTTGTTTTTAAGAACATTAAAAAGTGCTTTGTTGAAAGTGTTTGGTTTAGCACATTTTTATTGATTACTGAGTAGGTGCTGGAGTTTAAAACATGAATAAGACAAAAAAAATGAATAGAAAATAAGATTATTGCCTCTGCTGTTGAGACTCTTAGAGTGTGGTATTAATATCAATGTAATGTGTCAAGTGCAGTAAAAAGAGGTATGCACAAGGGGATCCAGAGCCTTAAGTAGGGGTAAAGTAGACCCAAGAGATGTTTCTTTGAGCTGAGTTATGAAGTATAAGTAGCTATTAGCCAGATAGGAAAATGAAGCGTGCCTTAGATTGTAAAGTATGATCAAGTGCATGGAGGTGTGATAGCATAAGATTTATGTGAACTACAAAGTGTAAATCGTGTGATGGAACTTGGTCATAGTTTTTCCTAGGGTAGGAGTCAGATTAGGAAGGGCTTTATTTTTCATCCTAGGACCTTGGATTTAAGTGTTTTTTTTGTTTGTTTTGTTTTTTTTGAGACAGAGTTTCACTCTTATTGCCCAGGCTGAAGTACAATGGCAGGATCTCAGCTCACCATAACCTCCGCCTCCTGGGTTCAAGCAATTCTCCTGCCTCAGCCTCCCTAGTAGCAGGGATTATAGGCATGCGCCACCACGCCCAGCTGATTTTGTGTTTTTAGTAGAAACAAGGGTTCTCCATGTTGGTCAGACTGGTCTCGAACTCCTGACCTCTGGTGATCCGCCCACTTCAGCCTCCCAAAGTGCTGGGATTATAGGCGTGAGCCACTGTGCCCAGCTAGTTTTGTTTTTTAAATTTTTATGTTTCCAAATAAATCATACACAGAGCACAAGTATAAAACATAGAAAAAAAGATGGAGCTGCTTTGACTTGGAATGTGGAGCAGCCAGCTTTCTTATCACCCTCTTGGGTAGCCTACAAGGGGCTCTCATGAGCACTATCTCAGAGGAACACAATTTGAAAACTACCTCTGTGATGGAATTTCAACAGAAGGATTTTGAGAAGTCCAGAGGAATTGATTAACTAATGATTAATTGTAAAATGCATTCTTAGAGTTGGAAATAAGTTGGTGTGATATGTGGGAGATGGGGAAGGGGGCCAATCAGGTATGTCTGGGCTATTAAGAAAATTGTTACTTCTATTCTTTAGTCTATTAAGATATAATTAATATTTTTATTTTTTATTTTTTTGAGACTTGCCCTGTCGCTCAGGCTGGGGTGCAGTGGTGTGGTCTGGGCTGACTGCAATCTCCACCTCCAGGTTTCAAGCGATTCTCCTGCCTTAGCCTCCTGGGTAGCTGGGATTACAGGCACCTGCCAACACGCCTGGCTAATTTTTGTTTTTTTATTTTTTATTTTATTTATTTATTTTTTTTTTTGAGACAGAGTCTCGCTGTGTTGCCCAGGCTGGAGTGCAGTGGCACGATCTTGGCTCACTGCAACCTCCGCCTCCTGGATTCAAGTGATTCTCCTGCCTCAGCCTCCCAAGTAGCTGCGATTACAGGCACATGCCACCACGCCTAGCTAATTTTTTTGTATTTTTAGTAAAGACAGGGTTTCAGCATGTTCATCATGTTTGCCAGGCTGGTCTCAAACTCCTGACCTCAAGTGAGCCGCCCACCTTGGCCTCCCAAAGTGCTGGGATTACAGGCATGAGCCACTGCACCTGGCCTACTCACCGTTTCAATGAATGTCATACCTTGGTATCTCGAGGGTCTTGCTATGTTAGTCAGGCTGGTCTTGAATTCCTTGGCTCAAGTGATCCACCTGCCTCGGCCTCCCAGAGTTTTGGGATTACAGGCATGAGCCACTGCCTGTAAACTTGTAGTGACTTTGCCCTTTGCTTAGTCTGTTAATTACTGAGAGAGGTTTTTCCCACCCTGTGATTATAATTTTGTTATGTGTCCTGGTATCTCTTGTTTTTCTTTTTATTATTTATTTATTTATTTTATTTATTTGTTTATTTTGAGATGGAGTCTCGCTCTGTTGCCCAGGCTAGAGTGCAGTGACATGATCTCAGCTCACTGCATCCTCCGCCTCCCGGGTTCAAGCGATTCTCCTGCCTCAGCCTCCCAAGTAGCTGGGATTACAGGCGCATGCCACCATGCCTGGCTAATTTTTGCATTTTTAGTACAGACAGGGTTTTGCCTTGTTATCCAGGCTGGTCTTGAACTCCTGACCTCATGATCCACCCGCCTCGGCCTCCCAAAGTGCTGGGATTACAGGCGTGAGCCACCGTGCCCGGCTGATGATGATATTTTAACAGATGAAGAGTTGCATTTTGTAGATGAGCAAAAAAATGTGGTTTCTTTTTTTTTTTTTTGAGATGGAGTCTCCCTTTGTAGCTCAGGCTGGAGTGCAGTGGTGTGATCTCAGCTCACTGCAAACTCCGCCTCCCAGGTTCTCCTGCCTCAGCCTCCCTAATAGCTGGGACTACAGGCACCTGCCACCAAAGTACGAGAATCACTTGAATTCGGGAAGGAAGTTTGCAGTGAGCCGAGATTGTGCCACTGCACTCCATCCTCGGTGACAGTGACAGAGCAAGACTGTCTCCAGAAAACACCCAAAAAGAGAGAAAGAAGCTCTACTGTGCATAAAATACTATCAAATGGCATTGAATGCTACAGAGAAATCAGGAAAGGAAGAGTCAATCGTCAATCCATGTGGGAAACTTCATTATGGGTTTTTTTTTGGTTTTTTTTTTTTTTTTTTGGCAGGTTCTCACCTTGTCACCCAGGCTGGAGCGCATTGGCACAATCTCATCTCACTGCAACCTCCAACTCGCGGGTTCAAGTGATTCTCCTGCCTCAGCCTCCTGAATAGCTGGGATTACAGGTGCCTGCCAGTATGCCTGGCTAATTTTTTGTAGTTTTTGTAGAGATGAGGTTTTGCCATGTTGTCTAAGCTGTTTTGAACTCCTGACCTCAAGTGATCTGCCCTCCTTGGCCTCCCAAAGTGCTGGGATTACAGGTGTGAGCCACTGTGCTTGGCTGCATTGTGGTCTTACTTTAAGAAATTGCTGTGGTGGGTTCTGTGCTATTTCCTGTAATCCCAGCACCTTGAGAGGCCAAGGCAGGTGGATCACTTGAGCCCAGGAGTTTGAGGCCATCCGGGGAAACATAAAAATTTAAAAAATTAGCCAGGCGCAGTGGCTCACGCCTGTAATCCCAGCACTTTGGGAGGCCCAGGTGGGCGGATCACGAGGTCAGGAGATCGAGACCATCCTGGCTAACACGGTGAAACCCTGTCTCTACTAAAAATACAAAAAATTAGCCAGGCATGGTGGCGGGCGTCTGTAGTCCTAGCTACTCGGGAGGCCGAGGTAGGAGAATGGTGTGAACCCGGGAGGTGGAGCTTGCAGTGAGTGGAGATCGCGCCACCGCACTCCAGCCTGGGTGACAGAGTGAGACTCCGTCTCAAAAAAAAAAAAAAAATTAGCTGGTCATAGTGGTATGCACTTTTAGTCCCAGTTACTTGGGAGGCCAATGCTAGAGGACCGCTGGAACCCAGGAGGCAGAGGCTACAGTGAGTTGTTTTTGTCCCACTGCATTCCAGCTTGGGCAACAGTTGAGTGAGACTCTGTCTCAGCAAAAACAAACAAACAAAAAACAGAAATTGCCACAGCCATTCTGACCTTCAGCAAGCAGCCATGAACACTGAGGCAAGACCCTCCATCAGCATAAAGCTTGCAGCTCAGATGATCATTTTTTAGAGACAGGGTTTTGCTCTCTTTCCCAGGCTCAAGTACAGTGATAAAACCGTAGCTTGCTGTAACCTGAAAATCCTGGACTCAAGTGATTGTTTTGCCTAGAACTACAAGGTTGTGCCAGCACCCCCAACTAAGTCTGGCTTTGTTTTTTCCTCCCCTCCCTTCCCCTCCCCTCCCCGCTTTTTAAAATTTTTATTTTATTTTTATTTTTTCAAATGGGATCTCGCTCTGTCACCTAGGCTGGAGTGCAATGGCGCAATCTCAGCTCACTGTAACCTTCCATCTCCCGGGTTCGAGTGATTCTCCTGCCTCAGCCTACTGAGTAACTGGGATTACAGGCGCCTGCCATTACGCCTGGCTAATTTTTGTATTTTTAGTAGAGACAGGGTTTCACCACGTTAGTCAGGCTGGTCTCGAACTCCTGACCTCAGGTGATCCGCCCACCTCGGCCTCCCAAAGTGCTGGCATTACAGGCGTGAGCCACCGTGCCTGGCCTCTTTTTTTGTTTTTTTAAGTAAAGATGAGGTCTCACTTATATTGCCAAGTATGGTCCTGAAGTCCTAGGCCCGAGCAGTCTTCCTGCCTTGGCTTCCGAAAGTGCTGGGATTACAGGTGTGAACCCCCACAACCAGCCTCAGTTAAGGGGTAAAATTTTTTTGTTTGTTTTTTTAGTGATGAGTTCTTGTTATATTGCCCAGGCTGGATATTCTTTTCTTTTAGCACTATATATTTTTTCCCCCAAATTTATACATTGAATACAACAAAGCATTCTTAATTTGTTATTTTTAATATATAATGCTATTGTACACAGACTATTGTGTAGTGTAAATCTAACTTTTATATATGTATTGTGAAATTGAAGCATTCTCGTGACTCACTTTATCGCAATATTTGCATTGTTGTGGTAGTCTTGAAACCGAACCTGTAGTATCTCCAAGGTATGCTTTTGCAAGTTTTTGTATGGACATGTGTTTTCATTATTCTTGGGTATTGTATACCTAGGAGTAGAGTTACTGCATCATATGGTCATTCTGTGTTTAAGAAAAAATTTTATTTTCAATGTTTGTGTATATATATTTATGATATACATGAGATATTTTGGTACAGACATGCAATATGTAATAATTACATTAGGGTAAATGGAGTTACCATCCCCTCAAGGATTTATCCTTTGTGTTACAATCTAATTATACCCTTTTTCTTATTTTAAAATATACAGTTAAATTATTATCAACCTGTTGTGCTATCAAATTCTAGTTCTTATTCATTATTTCTAACTTTTTTTTGGACTTACTGAATCATCTGTTCTTTTGTTTTCTTTAACCGTCCTCACTTCCATCTTTCTACTTCCCTTCCTAGCTTCTAGTAACCATTTTTCTGTTGTCTATCAGCATGAGTTCTATTGTTTTAATTTTTAGTTCCCACTAATAAGTGAGAACACATGAAGTTGGTCTTTCTGTGCCTGACTTATTTCATCTAACATAATGATCTCCAGTTCCATCTATGTTGTTGCAAATGATAGGATCTCATTCTTTTTCATGGCTGAATAACACTCCATTATGTATATGTACCACATTTGCTTTATTTATTCATCTGTTGAACACTTAGGTTATTTCCAAATCTTGGCTATTGTGAACAGTGCTGCAATAAACATGGGAGGGCAAATGTCTATTTGAAATACTGATTTCCTTTTCTGTATATAGCTAGTCGTGGGATTGCTGGATCAAATGGTAGCTCTATTTTTAGTTTTTTGAGGAACCTCCAAACTGTTGTCTAGATTTGTACTAATTTACATTCCTACCAACAACGTATGAGGGTTCCCTTTTCTCCACATCCTTTTATTCTTTTCTTTTGGATAAAAGCCATTTTATCTGTTTGAGATGGTATCTCATTGTAGTTTTGATTTGCATTTCTCTGATGATCAGTGATACTGAGCACCTTGTCATATTCTTGTTTGCCATTCGTATGTCTTTTTGAGTAATTTCTATTCAGATTTTTTGTCCATTTTTAGGAAAACTTTAATTTGATTGTTATATTTTTCTTTTAGATTTGTTTGATATCCTCACATAGTCTAGTTACTTGTTTTGGGTTTTTTTTTCTCTTGGAGACAGGGTCTCACTCTGTCACTTAGGCTGGTGTGCAGTGGGGCAGTCATGGCTCAGTGCAGCCTTGACCTCCCAAGCTCACGCATCCCTCCCAGTTTACCCTCCCAAGTTGCTGAAACTACAGGTGTGTGCTACCATGTCTGCCTGGTGTGGGTGTGTGTGGGTGTGTGTGTGCACGCAAGGATGGGATCTCGCCAAAGTTGATCTTGAAATCCTGGCCTCGAGCGATCACCCACCTTGGCCTCCCAAAGTGCTAGGATTGTGCAGGCCTGAGCCACCACGCCTGGCCTTTTCTTGTTTATAAATGAGATTATGTATTTATACTTGGGTTGATTTGATGACGTTATTCTTAAATATGGGTAGTTTAAGCTGTGGAAAAGTTTTAGTAGGCTTTGGATATCATATAAATCAAGCATCTAAACGGATGTGTTTTTGTCTTATATATTGCTGTCGTCTCTTTATAACAACTTAATATTATGGGAGTTTTTGGTAACTAAAACAATAACTGAGTCCTTAGAGTTGCGATAATTTCTATGATAATTGTTATGTAAAGCATTAGTACTTCCCCCACTTCCCCTCGTCTTTACCTCAAGTTGTGTATCACTATAGATTCTCAGCAAGTTTTTCTAAAAAACTGTGGCTGGGTGCAGTGGCTCATGCCTGTAATCCCAGTACTTTAGGAGGGCGATTTGGGTGGATTGATTGAGCTCAGGAGTTTGGGACCAGCCTGGGCATCATGGTGAAACCCTGTCTCTACAAAAAATATAAATGCCAGGTGCTGTGGCTCACGTCTGTAATCCCAGCACTTGGGAGGCGGAGGCTGGTGGATCACCTGAGGTCAGGAGTTCGAGACCAGCCTGGCCAACATGGTGAAACCCTGTCTCTCCTAAAAATACAAAAATTAGCCGGGCATGGTGGCAGGCGCCTGTAATCCCAGCTACTCGGGAGGCTGAGGCAGGAGAATCGCTTGAACCCAGGAGGCGGAGGTTGCATTGAGTTGAGATTGTGCCATTGCACTCCAGCCTGGGGGATGAGAGCGAGACTGTCTCAAAAAAACAAAACCAAATATATATTTGCTTTTTTGTTTGTTTTTTTGAGACAGAGACCAAATATATATTATATATATATATAATATATATTTGTTTTTTATTATAATATATATACATTATATATTATATATTATATATATTTTATATATTATATATAATATATTTTATATATTTATATATTATATATGTATATTATATATATATATATATAAATTTATATATATAATATATAAGTTTTATATATTTAAATATATATTATATATTATATATTTATATAATTAATATATATAATATATTTATATATTTTATATAATTATATATATTTATATATATAAATAAATATATATAATATAGTTATATATTTATATATAACTATATTATATATTATATATTTTATATTATATAATTTATATTATATATTATATATTATATATTTTTTATATATATAATATATAATATAACATATAATATATGTTATATATAATATATTATATATAACATATATTATATTATATGTATATTTATATATAATATATATATGTAAATCAGCCCAGTGTGGTGGTGTGCGTTTGTAGTCCCAACTACCTGGGAGCCTGAGGGGGAAGGATTGCTTGAGCCCAGGAGGTGGAAGCTGCAATGGGCTGTGATCACACCATTGCACTCTAGCCTGCATTACATAGGGAGACCCTGTCTCAGAAACGAAAAAGAAAAAATTGTTGCACTATGGCTATTTTTTAATATTTAGCTCAACTGTAATTTTTGGATATGTCTGGGAAGAGATTGATAGCCAATGACTATATTCAATTTACATTAAAATAGCATATCCCATATGACCAGGAACATAGTTGAACCGGTTTAGGTTTTTTTAAAAAATCCTCAGAAGTGCAACATAGGTTTGATTTTTAACTGTTGCTAGAAAAATTCATTAGTGAAAGTAAAGATCTCGTCCAAAATTCCTTTAAACAGAACTTTTGGCTCAAGAGCCACTTCTTAGTTAGAGTTGTAGAGATGTCTTAAGCCTTTAGTGATTTTCGAAGATGGTAGTGACGAGCTTTTCTGGGTTAGTTTAATATAAAGTGATACGTCACTGTCAGTGAAATAAGGAATATAAGGTGGCCGTGGTGGCTCAGGCCTATAATGCCAGCACTTTGGGAAGACAAGGTAGGAGGATTGCTTGAGACCAAGAGTTCGAAAGCAGCCTGGGGAACACAGGGAGACCTGTGTTCTGGGTGTGGTGGTGTGTGCCTTTAGTCCCAGCTATTCGAGTGGCTGAAATCAACGCGCCACTGCACCCCAGCCTGGGTGACAGACTGAGGCTGTGTCTCAAAAAACAAACCAACAATCAAAAAGAAAATGGGAGGTTTTAAATCTAGTTAGCTTTTAGGTTGGATTTAAACACTTTGCAAACAAATTCTAGCCATATTTATTTCTAATGCAAAAAACATGGTCTTTAGAGTTATTCAGATATGGATTTAAATTCTAATCGTTACAATTGTGACTTAACTTTTTTTTTTTTTTTTTTTTTTGAGCTGGAATCTCACTCCGTTGCCCAGGCTGGAATGCAGTGGTAAGATCTTGGCTCACTGCAACCTCCGCCTCCCAGGTTCAAGCGATTCTTCTGCCTCAACCTCCCAAGTAGCTGGGATTACAGGCACACACCACCATGCTCGGCTAATCTTTGTATTTTTAGTAGAGATGGGGTTTCACCATGTTTGCCAGGCTGGTCTTGAACTCCTGACCTCCAGTGATTCTCCCACCTTGGCCTCCCAAAGTGCTGGGATTACAGGCATGAGCCACCGCACCCAGCCTGTGACTTAACCTTTTTGAGCCTCAGTTTCTTTATCTGCAAAATCGAGATAATGCTGTCTTGTAAGGTTGTGAGGGGTAAGCAAAATAATGTATGTGTATTAGTTTTGGGGGGCTGTTGTAATGCAATACCACAAACTAGCTGGCTTAAACAGCAGAAATTCTCTCTCAGTTCGGGAAGCTAGAAGTACAAACTCAAGTTGTCAGCACATTGTTTTGAGGACTGTGAGTGTGTATCTGTCCCTGTCCCTCTCCTAATGTCTGACCTCAGGCTTTCCTTGGTTAATAGATTGTGTTCTGTCTGTGTTTTCACGTTGTCTTCCCTCTATTTGTGCCTGTCTTTGTTTCCAAATTTCTCCATTTTATTAGGAAACAGTTGCACTGAATTAAGGCCCACCCTTGTGACTTCATCTGGATCAACTGCAAAGACCCTACTTTCAAATAAGATCACATTCACAGCTACTGGGTTAGGGAGGAGTATATCTTGTGTGTGTGTAGAGTGGCAGTGTACACAGAATTCGGCCCAATACCATATATAAAAAAGGCTTAGTACCAGTATATTATTTCCAACTGGACCTATAGACATTAGAAAAAGCCATTCTGAAATCTGCCAGTCCTGCCAGTCTAAGCCTGGAAGATGCCACTTCTTTACTTACATTTTCTCTGATCTCTTTTCCCAAGTGTCTTGGGATCTGGAATTGTGACTTATTCGTCTTTGTGTGTCTTGTTGAGCTTTGTACATAGGTGTTTACTAAGTTTGTGTGTAGTTGAATTATGGGCTTAAATGGATTTATTTTAGTGTCTGTCTCTGCAAGATAAAATTTTTAAGCTGGTCTTAAAGTCGTCTTGCTTTTTTACACCCTTGTTCTTATTTTCATGTTTAGAAGCTTTTCTGTGGTCTGGAATTCTTGCCTGTTTCTAAGTTTATTTATTAAGATCAGTTGGATTTGGTCCTTATTGTCTATGAACGAAAGTATTAATGTGTATTTATATAGATTTATTTTTCCAGTGGGTTTGCATATGTTATTTTATTTGGTCATGTAAATTTTTCAAGATAGAAGAAAGTAAATAGGGGTTTGTTAAAGTCTTTACTCATTGTACCATCAATTAATGAAACTTTAAAATTTGTGTTTCTCAATGGCCTTGTTATTTAAAAGTTTTTTTAAGGTCATCATTATTGCTTCAGCCTAGTTTATAATGGATCATACAGTGTATGTATAGCTCTGTTATCTTTAAGATATGACATCTTAGCATATTTCATAGAGTTGTAATAGCATAATTTTTTTTGGTTATATAGATGAGAGGTTTCTGTGTTGGCCAGGCTGGCCTTGAACGCCCAGCCTCGCCTCCTTATGCACCAGGACAACAGGCCTGAGCCACCACGGCTCCTAGCATAATTTTTTTAAACAGATCTCTTGGTGGATATTAACTTTTGTCATTTTAAAAAAAAAATGCTTTAACAGCTTGGGCAACGTGGTTATATTCCATCTCTACAAAAAATACAGAAATTTTCCAGGCATGTTGGTGAGCATTGGAACACTGAGATGGGAGGATGGGTTGAGCTCAGGAGGCGAAGATTGCAGTGAGTGAAGATTGCACCATTGCACTCCAGCCTGGGAGGCAGAGTGAGAACCTGTCTCAAAAAAAACACACAAAAAACCAACCAAACAAAAACCTGCTTTAAATATCTTACCCTAGAATTAGGAATTATAGGAAATTACTTTGAATTATTTTTGGGGCTTAAAATACTGGGAGCTGAATTACTAGTTACTCATTTTGATGGTGTATTATAGAGTAGGTGTTACTTTCCCAATTTTGTGGCTTAGGAAACTGAGACCAAATTAACAGACTTTTTGAAGGTGACACAGTTTGTGATGGAGTCAGAAGAGAGGATTTATTACTACTTTCTCTGGTTCTGTGGTTCTGGCTATTGTCTTTACCTGATACCACTGACATTCTTTCTCCTCTGTCTATTGAATGCATGTATTTTATGATTATACTTCCAAAAATACAATGTAATCTTTTTGTAGTAGTTCTCTGAGGAGAAGACAGAACCAACAACATGTGCTAGATTGGTTATAGTTAAATTTGTCATAAAGCATATAATAATAATGAGGTTTTGTTGTTATTGGATAACAGGAGAGTGGTTTAAGAATTTAGGCTCTGGAGTTGTATCTCCCCAGGTTTGAATCCTTGGTTCTGTCACTTAATAACTATGTAACCACAGGCATGTAGTAAAATAATGGGTAATAATGTGTTTACTTGAAGAACAGTGCCTTGCATGTAGCAAACATCATGTTACTTAATGTATTTGAAGTCATTTAGGACTTGAATAAATAAGCAAGTTCCATATTTAGCAGTGCCAAATAAATCATATTTAAATAATCAAAAATCAAATTATATAATAAATTTATTGGAACCTACTCAGATTGCAGTTTTCAGTACAGATAAAATATTTGTCTTTCCCATCGATTCTTGGTATCTCTTAAAGTTTCAAAGTCAATTAACTTTGAAGTCGTATTCTTTTTGAGAATTTACTTGATAACCATCAATATGGTCCCTTAGATTTTTTTAAAGACAGATCTCACTCTGTAGCACAGGCTGGAGTGCAGTGGGCATGAACATGGTCCACTGTAGCCTCGAATTCTTGGGCTCAAGCAGTCCTCCTACCTGTCTCCCAAGCAGCTGGGAGTACAGGCATGCACCACCATGCCCAGCTAATTTTTTAAATTTTTTGTAGAGACTGGGTCTGACATGTTGTCCAGGCTGATCTCAGACTCCTAGGCTGGAGTGATCCTGTCACCTCAGCCTCCCAAAGTGCTGGAATTTATAGGCAAGAGCCACAGCATCTGGCCCCCTTAGGGCTTTTTATTTTATTTTATTCTTTTTACTTTTGAGGCAGAGTCTAACTCTGTTGCCCAGGCCGGCGTGCAGTGGCGCAATCTTGGCTCACTGCAACCTCTGCCTCCCTGGTTCAAGCAATTCTCTTGCCTCAGCCTCCCGAGTAGCTGGGATTACCGGCATGCGCCGCCATGCCCTGCCAATTTTTGTATTTTTTTCTCTTTTTAGCAGAGACAGGGTTTCGCTGTGTTGGCCAGGCTGATCTCAAACTCCTGGCCTCAAGTTATCTGCCTACCTCGGCCTCCCAGAGTACTGGGATTACAGATGTGAGCCACTGTGCCTGGCCCCTTAGAGCTTTTTAAAAGAAAGTAAGATGTAGTTCTTGTTTCATTTTCTAGTAGCTCTATATACAGGAGGAACTAATCCCAGGTTTTTTTTTTTTCCGAGACGGAGTCTTGCTCTGTCTCCCAGGCTGGAGTGCAGTGGCGCCATCTCGGCTCACTGCAAGCTCCGCCTCCTGGGTTCACGCCATTCTCCTGCCTCAGCCTCCCGAGTAGCTGGGACTACAGGCGCCCGCCACCATGCCCAGCTAATTTTTTATTTTTAGTAGAGACGGGGTTTCACCGTGTTAGCCAGGATGGTCTCGATTTCCTGACCTCGTGATCTGCCCGCCTCGGCCTCCCAAAGTGCTGGGATTACAGGCATGAGCCACTGCACCCAGCCTTTTTTTTTTTTTTCTTTTTTTTTTTTGAAGAGTCTCTCTGTCGCCGAGGCTAAAGTACGGTGGCTCTTGGCTCGCTGCAACCTCCGCCTCCAGGGTTCAAGCGATTCTCCTGTCTCAGCCTCCCAAGTAACTGGGTAGGATTACAGGTGCCCGCTAACACCCCCGGCTAATTTTTGTATTTTTAGTAGAACAAGGTTTCACCATGTTGGCCAGGCCGGTCACGAACTCCTGACCTCAGGTGATCCACCTGCCTCGGCCTCCCAAAGTGCTGGGATTACAGGCATGAGCCACTGTGCCCAGCCAATCCCAGTATTTTTAATGAGATTTAACTTCTGTGAGTATTTAGAAGAATTCTTTGCTGTTTTCTCTGGGGCTTATGTCTGAAAGTAAAGTGTTAGCTGGGACTACAGGCATGTGCCACCACTCCTGGCTATTACTATTGTTAATACGCTAATAGAAATATTGGTTTGAAAAGCATGTAGAATATCACATGCAGAAGGGTCTGAAGTCTCTTGATATTATTAAAAATTCTTCCTATAATTTTTTCTCCATTTTTTTTTTCCCTTTGTGTTTTGATCCAAGGACTAGATCAAGGGTGTCTTTTCCTTCGGATGATTTTCTTTATTGTGTGTGTTTTTAGTTCTTTAAAAATAAAGCCAGCTTAATTTTATTTTCAAAATACGGATAGATTCATTATATAAAACAATTATAAGTTGAGAACTATGTATAAAGGGCTATGTTATGAACAATTAAGATGGAATAATTTAGTTGTACTTATTTTGTAATTCTTTTTAGGCTAGAGTGTTTTCATTCTCAATTTTTCATACATTGCTTTTTCAGAAGGCTAATAGGAATGACAATAATGTTTCAAAATATTTTGATTCTTATTGATGCCCCATGTTTTGTCTGTCTAAAGTGTCAACCTAAGAAAAAGTCTACGCCACTGAAGTATGAAGTTGGAGATCTCATCTGGGCAAAATTCAAGAGACGCCCATGGTGGCCCTGCAGGATTTGTTCTGATCCGTTGATTAACACACATTCAAAAATGAAAGGTAATACTTGCAGTGATTATACATGTTAAAGGCAGTTGCCTTTAGAATAACTCAATTTTTGTTATCTTAATAATAATATATTTTTTTCCTTGGAACATTTTGTGAATGAATTGGTGTTACATATTTTATCTTTTGGGGCTTTTAAAAGTTCGTTTTACTCTATGATTTAAACCTTCTCTCAGTTTTTTTTTTTTGTTTGTTTGTTTTTGAGACGGAGTCTCGCTCTTGTTGCCCAGGCTGGACTGTAGTGGTGCAATCTCAGCTCACTGCAACCTCTGACTTGTGAGTTCAAGCGATTCTCCTGCCTTAGCCTCCCGAGTAGCTGGGATTACAGGCATCCGCCACCACGCTTGGCTAATTTTTGTTTTTTGTTTTTTTTTTTAATTTTTTATTTGAGATGGAGTTTTGCTCTTGTTGCCCAGGCTGGAGTGCAGTGGCGTGATCTCAGCTTACCGCAACCTCTGCCTCCCGGGTTCAAGCAATTCTTCTGGCTCAGCCTCCTCAGTAGCTGGGATTGCAGGCATGTGCCACTACGCCCAGCTAATTTTGTATTTTTAGTAGAAACGGGGTTTCTCCATGTTGGTCAGACTGGTCTCGAGCTCCCGACCTCAGGCGATCTGCCTGCCTTGGCCTCCCAAAGTGCTGAGATTACAGGCATGAGCCCTGCACCAGGCCTAATTTTTGTATTTTTAGTAGAGACGGGGTTTCACCATGTTGGCCAGGCTGGTCTTGAACTCCTGAGATGAGGTGATCCGCCCGCCTTAGACTCCCAAAGTATGGGGATTACAGGCGTGAGCCACTGTGCCCGGCTGATTTAAACATTCTCAATTATTCTGTTGATGCCAGGAAGGTGTTAGGCCATTTTTCTAATGTTTACATTGTCCGGAATCACCTTTTAGTATATTTACGTATTTCTACTTTAATCAGGTTTGTATCATTTTTTATAATATAAAAGCTGAAACAATTGTAAATGTTTATTAATAATTTTGAAGTTTAAAATTTTAATTTGGAGTATTTCCTTTAAATGCTATTGTTTGTTTTTCAGTTGATTGTTGTGTTTGAATCTTAGGTACCTTAGTTTTAAATTACTCTAAAGGATGGGGCTGAAACTTGATTTATTTTTATTTTATTTTATTTTAGAGAAGAATTTCTGCTCTGTCTCCCAGGCTGGAGTGCAGTGGCGTGATCTCGGCTCACTGCAAGCTCTGCCTGCTGGGTTCATGCCATTCTCCTGCCTCAGCCTCCCGAGTAGCTGGGACTACAGGCGTCCGCCACCATGCCTGGCTAATTTTTTTGGTATTTTTAGTAGAGACGGGATTTCACCGTGTTAACCAGGATGGTCTTGATCTCTTGACCTCGTGATCTGCCTGCCTCGGCCTTACAAAATGCTGGGATTACAAGCGTGAGCCACCGTGCCGGGCCAATTTTTGTATTTTTAGTAGAGATGGGGTTTCACCATGTTGGCCAGGCTGGTCTTGAACTCCTGACCTCAGGTGATCCTCCTTCCTCAGCCTCCCAAAGTGTTGGGATTACAGGTGTGAGCCACTGCACCTGGCCTGAAACTTGATTTGAGCTGTCCTTTTTTCTGTTAGGATGGTAGTGATTTTATTTTAGTTTTAATATATGTATTTTAGTTTCTGAAAGTCAGATGTTGGTGAGATTCAGAAAAATCAGCTTACTCTCTGCTTTGCTGTGATCCGCCACATTCTTCACTCCTTTCAACAGGCAACCAATTGATATTAATTTTTGTTGTTGTTGTTGTTGTTTTGTTTTGAGACGGAATCTTGCTCTGTCACGTACGTTGGAGTGCAGTGGCGCAATTTCGGCTCACTGCAACCTCTGCCTCCCGGGTTCAAGCAATTCTCCTCCTGCCTCAGCCTCCAGAGTAGCTGGGATTACAGGTGCGTGCCACCATGCCCAGCTAATTTTTGTATTTTAGTAGAGACGGGGTTTCACCATGTTGGCCAGGCTGGTCTCAAACTCCTGACCTCAAGTGAACCACAGGTCTTGGCCTCCCAAAGTGTTTGGATTACAGGCGTGAGCCACCACACCTGGCTGATATTAATATATTTTTATATACATAATGTTTTTTCATATAAATTATATTTTTATTTACATGAGTAAATACATACTTCTTAGTCATCTTCCACGTCTTTCCTTTATCACAAACAGAACATTGTATATTTTGCAGCTTGCCTTTTCCACTTTGTGGAGATTTTTTTCATATTTTTATTATTTATGTATTTGTTTATTTTTCTGAGACAGGATCTCATTCTGTTGCCTAGGCTGGAGTGTAATGGCATAACAACGCCTCACTGAAGCCTTGATCTCCAGGGCTCAAACAGTCATCCAACCTCAGCATCCTGAATAGCTGGAATAGCTGGAATAGCTGGGAGCACAGACGTGTGCCACCACACATGGCTTTTTTTTTTTTTTTTTGGGTGGAGATAGTGTCTCCATATATTACCCAGGCTGGTCTTGAAATCCTGAGCTTAATAAGGGATCCTCCCACCTTGGCCTTCCGGAGTGCTGGAATTACATGTGTGAGTCACCATGCCTCTTTTTTTTTTTTTTTTTTTTTTTAAAAAGGATGATTTCTCCAAAGTAGAATTCCTGGATTTGATTTTATATTTTGAATAATGAGGTGCCCAAAAACCTTTATAAATTTTAGTGTCTTTTTTTTTTTTTTTTTTTTTTTTTGAGGCAGAGCCTTGCTCTGTCTCCCAGGTTGGAGTGCAGTGGCACAATCTCGGCTCACTGCAAGCTCCACCTCCTGGGTTCACACCATTCTCCTGCCTCAGCCTCCCGAGTACCTGGGACTACAGGTGCCAGAACCTAGCACAGTACTAGGTTTTGTGTCTGGGCGCAGTGGCTCACACCTGTAATTCCAGCACTTTGGGAGGCTAAGGCGGGCAGATCACCTGAGGTCAGGAGTTCGAGACCAGTCTGGCTGACATGGTGAAACCCTGTGTTTACTAAAAATACAAAAATTAGCCAGGTGTGTTGGCATGCTCCTACAATCCCAGCTACTGGGGAGGCTGAGGCAGAAGAATTGCTTGAGCCCGGGATGTGGAGGTTGCCGTGATCCAAGATCACACTACTGCACTACAGCCTGGGTGACAGAGCGAGACTCTGTCTCAAAAGAAGAAAATAACTTAGTGTGTTAAAAATTTAATACCTTGACCAGACACGGTAGCTCATGCCTATAATCCCAGCACTTTGGGAGTCCGAGGTGGGAGGATCACTTGAGCCTAGGAGTTTGAGACCAGCCTTGGCAATACAATGAGACACTTTCTCTTTAATTCAAAAAAAATGTTGATACCTTATCCTTTGTGACCTGTCTGGATATTTAAATTCTACTACTAGAAAACTCTGAGTCCTTCTTTTCTAACCTCCCTGTCCCTATGACTGCTGGTTTCTTACTCATTAGGGTGTCTCTCTCTCTCTCTCTCCTCGTCTCTCTTTTGATTGAGGGTCTCGTTCTATTGCCCAGGCTAGAATGCAGTGGCGTGATCATGACTCATTGCAGCCATAGCTTCCCAGGGTCAAGCGATCTTCCCTCCTGTGCCTTCCAAGCAGCTGGGGCTACAGGCATTCGCCACTATGCCTGGCTTAGTTTTTAATTTTTTTGTAGAGACAGGGTTTTGCCTTGTTGCCCAGGCTGGTCTGAAACTCCTGGGCTCAAGCGATCTGCCCGCCTCGGCCTCCCAAAGTACTTGGGATTACTGACAGGAGCTACCGCACTCAGCCTATTTATAGTGTTTCTTATGCATACTAGTTGAGTCCATGCTATTTATTTGACAAATAGTAAATACCTTGTATAGATTGAGTACTGTGCTAGGTTTTGGGATTCATTATTGGGCCATACATCTATACTGCTTGCTCTCATGAGAAATTAGAATCTAGTATAAGGGACAAGACACCAGAAAATAATCAAATGCATTATTACTTAACTGAGAAGTCTGTCCAAGGAACAATTTTGATGCCTATTCAGTGATATAACAGGGATAACTGACCTGGACTCTTCATCAGTGGTGTTTGCTAATAAAGTTATCTCTGATCTGTTACTTGAGAGGATGAGTTGGGAGTTAACTAGGGAAGAGAGAAGAAGATGGTTCCAGGAATCTGCAGCTCACAGAGTAAGGGAGGGTGGCACAGTATGAGGCTGGGAAGTAGATATGGGACAAAGTGTTCAGTGCCTTGTTGACTTTGTTAAAAAATTTTGTTATTTTTATCTCAGAAACAATGTATATAATTAAAAAGTGTTTAGCAGGAGCCGCCATGCTCTGATCTGTTCATTTTAAAAGTTCACTGTGGCTGGATTGTTGAACATGTGTTAGAAGGGGACCACAAATAAGTAAAAAGAGACAGTTAAGTCATTATTAGTGATTATGGTGTGATGAAAATTGCGAATAGAAAATAAAAACAGATGAGGAGGTAAAATGCATCTGATGTAGTAATGCATTGGATAATGTTGACTGAGGGAGAATGAAGTCCTGAGGCTTTCAGTTCTCAGGTTTCCATATCATAGGATGGCTCCCACGTTTTTAGCTTCATCACTGGATGGCTGAATAGATCGTCATTTACTGAGAGAACACCAGAGCATCTATAACTCAGAAAGGACATATTCTTGTTCATATTAGTTGGAGCCATGGGCAAGGCATGGGTGAGATTTTTTGGGACAAAAGATACTATGAGACAAAAGGTACATTGAGGAAGACATCATTTGACATCTGTATGAAAGAGACTGAGCTTGCTGAAAAAGAATGATGAAAAAGAATCAGATGAAACAGGTGGAAGAGGAAAAGTAGGAGAATGTGGCTAGAGTACAGTAGTATGTACTGGGGATATGTTCTAAGATTCTCAGTGGATGCCTGAAACTGGATAGTACTGAATCCCATATATATAATGTTTTTCCTGTACATACATACCTATTATAAAGTATCATTTATAAATTGGGCATTGTGGCTGGTTGTGGTGGCTCACGCCTGCAATCCAGCACTTTGGGAATCCGAGGCGGGCGGATCACTTGAGGTCAGGAGTTGAAAGCCAGCCTGGCCAACATGGTGAAACCCTGTTTCTTCTAAAAACACACAAAAAATTAGCTGGGCGTGGTGGTGGATGCCTGTAATCCCAGCTACTGGGGAGGCTGAGGCAGGAGGATTGCTTAAACTTGGGAGGTGGAAGTTGCAATGAGCCGAGATCATACCACTGCTCTCCAGCCTGGGCAATGGAGCAAGACTCCATCTAAAAAAAAAAAAATAGTAAATAAAAAATAAATTGGGTATTGTAAGAGATCAGTAACAACTAATAATAAAACAGGGCGGGTGCAGTGGCTCACGCCTATAATCCCAGCACTTCGGGAGGCCGAGGCAGGCGGATCACAAGGTCAGGCGATGGAGACCATCCTGGCTAACAAGGTGAAACCCTGTCTCTACTAAAAATACAAAACATTAGCTGGGCAGGGTGGCGGGCGCCTGTAGTCCCAGCTACTTGGCAGGCTGAGGCAGGAGAATGGTGTGAACCCGGGAGGCGGAGCTTGCAGTGAGCCAAGATGACGCCACTGCACTCCAGCCTGGGCGAGAGTGCGAGACTCCATCTCAAAAAATAAATAAAACAGAACAATTACACTGTAATAAAAGTTATGGGAATCTGTCCCCTACCTTCGACCCCAATAGCTTATTTTACTGTATCACAGGTAACTGAAACCATCGAAAGTGAAGTCTCACGTGAGCTGGGACCACTGTAGTTTAAGGACGATGTGGTCAATTTTGCTGAGTGTTGCCTAGAGAGCAAATAAAATGTCCATTAGGGATAAGAAGGTGGAGATCACGAGTACCTTTTTTGTTGTTGTTGGTTTCATTGAGGTAGAAGTTAGATTGGACTGATTTGAGGCAATGGAGACAGAGACAGAGAAGGGAGGATGCTGCAGGCAGATAGGTATATAGGATTCAGAAGGATTTTTATTTTTTGTTGTTATTTTTTATTTTAATATTAGTCTTATTTTTGAGAAAGAGTCTTGCTCTGTCACTCAGGCTGGAGTGCAGTGGCACAATTACAGCTCACTGCAACTTCCATCTCCCAGGCTCCAGTGCTCCAGGGCTCCAGCACTCCTTCCACCTCAGCCTCCTCAGTAGCTGGGACTACAGGTGTGCACCACAACACTTGGCTAATTTTTATATTTTTTGTAGAGACAAGATCTCCCTATGTTGCATGAACTGGTCTTGAACTCCTGGCCTTAAGTGATCCTCCCGCCTTGGCCTCCCAACGTGCTGAGATTACAGGTGTGAGCCACTGTGCCTGGCCAATTTATTTTTGACTCTAGAGACAGGGAAGTTTCAAGATGAAGGTGCTAGCCAATTCGGATCCCAAGTGAGGGCTGTCTTCCTGACTTGTAGATAACCACCTTGTTGCTGTGTCGTCATTTGGCAGAGAGCGAAAGTACTCACTGTGGCATCTTCTTTTAAGGAGACTAGTTGCATCATGAGGTCACCTCCATCATGAGGGACCTATTACTAATCTAGTAATAGTATTTAGTATTCTTAGTATATTTAGTGTATAAAATTAGTAAATCTACTTACTCCAAAGGCCTCACCTGTAAACACCAACATATGGGGGGGTCAAGGCTTCAGAATAATGCATTTCAGGAGGACACAAACATTTAGTCTGTAATAGCCCTTTTTCATCCTTCTTGAATGACAGTCTTACTAACTCTGAGTTTTAAATTGTCGTCAGTAAGCTGAATTCATATCCTTAGTGATAGTCTTTATCCAGGCTTTAGATTTGTATACTCAACTCCATACTTGAAGTTTTCACCAAGATGTCAATTTGAAAATATATTCATCACCCTAACATGGAACCCCATACTCTTTAGCTTCCTCTGTCTCCATCTTTCCACACCCATACGTGTTTGCCTTAAGCAACCACTAATGTACTTTCTGTTTCTGTGGATTTGCATATTCTAGACATTTCATATGTAGTAGGTCCCCAATTTGAGTTAGAATTTTTCGACCTTACAATGGTGCGAAAGCGATACACATTAAATAGAAATGGTACTTCAAGTTACCTGTAGAACCATTCTGTTTTTCACTTTCAATGTAGTATTCAGTAAATTACAGGAGATATTCAGCAGTTAATTTTAAAATAGGCTTTGTGTCAGAAATATTGCACAACTGTAGACCAATGTAAGTGTTCTGAGCATGTTTAGCGTAGGCTAGGTGTATTAAATGCATTTTCTAATTATTATTTTTTTTTTAGAGGCAGGGTCTTGCTTTGTTGCTCAGGCTGGAGTGTAGTGACGCGATGTCAGCTCACTGCAACCTCTGCCTCTTGGACTCATGTGATTCTCCTGCCTCAGCCCCCCAAGTAGCTGGAACTACAGGCAAGGGCCACCATGCCCAGCTAATTTTTAAATTTTTTTATAGACAGGGTCTCCCTGTATTGCCCATGCTTGTCTTGAACTACTGGGCTCAAACAGTCTTCTTGCCTTGGCCTCAAAAAGTGTTTGGATTATAGGCGTGAAGCCTCTGCGTCTGGCCAGCCTTCATATTCAACTTAATATTTTCTTTTCTTTTCTTTTCTTTTCTTTTCTTTTTTTTTGAGATGGAGTCTCTCTCTGTCACCAGACTAGAGTGCAGTGGCACGATCTCAGCTCACTGCAACCTCTGACATCCTGGTTCAAGCAATTCTCCTGCCTCAACCTCCTGAGTAGCTGGGATTACAGGCACCTGCCACCACGCCCGGCTAATTTAATTTTTAGTAGAGACGGGGTTTCACCATGTTGGTCAGGATGTTCTCCATCTCCTGACCTCGTGATCTGCCAACCTCGGCCTCCCAAAGTGCTGGGATTACAGGAGCGAGCCACCACGCCCGGCCTCAACTTAATATTTTCAGCTTATAATGGGTATGTCATGGAGCATCTGTGATTTGTTTATAATTTTTCCACAAATCTGTTGTGCTCCTCAACTTACAATGGGGATACGTTTCCACTAGGAATGCATTGGTTCTGATTTTTCCCATATCCCCATCATTGGTTATTTGACTTTTAAAAAATAGACAAAACATAAATTTAATGTTTTTTTTTTGTTTTGTTTTGTTGAGATAGAGTCCTGCTCTGTTGCCCAGGCTGTGGCAGGATCTCAGCTCACTGCAACCTCTGCCTC
Organism: Homo sapiens; assembly: GCF_000001405.40. NCBI lineage: Eukaryota > Metazoa > Chordata > Mammalia > Primates > Hominidae > Homo > Homo sapiens. The sequence goes on from NC_000005.10 coordinate 177,200,182, forward strand.
CTGGGTTCAAGCAGTTCTTCTGCCTCAGCCTCCTGAGTAGCTGGGACTATACGAGTAACTGGGACTACAGGCATGTGCCAGCACGCCTGGCTCATTTTTGTATTTTTAGTAGAGACAGGATTTCACCATGTTGGCCAGGCCGTTCTTGAACTCCTGACCTTAAGTGATCCTCCCGCCTCGGCCTCCCAAGGTGCTGTCCTGCCTCAGCCTCCCAAGGTGCTGGGACTACAGGCCTGAGTCACCTTTCCTCGCCTAATGTTTTCATTGTTTCAAGTAGGCAGTTCAGTAGCATTAAGTATATTAACATTGTTGTGTAGCCATTACCACTATTCATCTCCAGACTCTTTCATCTCCCAAACTGAAACTCTGTACCCATTTACCAACATCACCATAGCCCTTGGTAACCACTGTTCTGTGTTTTTTTTCCTTATAAATTTGACTATTTTAGATACCACATATAACTAGAATCAGACATTTGTCCTATTGACCCCTTACTTCATTTATCATAATGTCTTCTAAGTTCATCAATGCTATAGTATGTTTCTGAATTTCTTTCTCTCTCTCTCAATTTTTTTAAAGGCTACATAATACGTCATTGTATTGTAAGTACCACATTTTGTTTTTCCATTCATCCATCAGAGAACATTTGGGTTGTTTTCCTTTTGGCCATTCTGAACAGTGTTTCTATAAACATTGTATAGTATCTGGTGTTTTTGTATTTTTTTTTTTTTGGATGGAGTTTCACTCTTGTTGCTCAGGCTGGAGTGCAATGAGGCGTGATCTTGGCTCACTGCAACTTCTGTCTCCTGGGTTCAAGTGATTCTCTTGCCTCAGTTGGGATTACAGGTGCATACCACCACACCTGGCATTAATTTTTGTATTTTTAGTAGAGACTGGGTTTCGCCATGTTGGCCAGGCTGGTCTCAAACTCCTGACCTCTGGTGATCTGCCTGCCTCCACCTCCCAAAGTGCTGGGATTATAGGTGTGAGCCACTGTGTCCAACCTAAGCATCTGTGTCTTTTTTGTTGTTTTTTATTTGTTTTTTGAGACAGAGTCTTGCTCTGTCTCCCAGGCTGGAGTGCAGTAGCGGGATCTTGGCTCACTGCAACCTCTGCCTCCTGGGTTCAAGCGATTCTTCTGCCTCAGTCTCCCGAGTAGCTGGGACTAAAAGTCAGCTAAAAGTCAAAGCTGTAATGGCTAAGATCTTAACATGCCATGCAAACTCTTACAAGTCTGGTTGCTGCCCAACCTTTATTAGTTTCCCTTTTCTTCTAGTTTATGATAGTGTTTAGAACTACTTGTAGTTTTGTTTAGTTTTATTCATTCATGCCTTTGAGGGTTCTGTGCCCTCATACTATAATTCTATCTTTAACTGTTTACTTTTTTTTTTTTTTTTGAGATGGTGTCTCACTCTTGTCCAGGCTAGAGTGCAGTGGTGGGATCTCAGCTCACTGCAACCCCCGCCTCCTGAGTTCAAGCGATTCTCATGCCTCAGCCTCTCAAGTAGCTTGGATTACAGGCAAGTTGCACCACGCCCGGCTACTTTTTGTATTTTTAGTAGAGACAGGGCTTTACCATGTTGGCCAGGTTGGTCTTGAACTCCTGACCTCAGGTGATCCGCCTGCCTCAGCCTCCCAAAGGGCTGGGATTACAGGCATGAGCCATCCCACCTGGCCAAACTGTTTAACTTTAAAAGTTGTTCAGCCTGGCGCGGTGGCTCACGCCTGTAATCCCAGCACTTTGGGAGGCCGAGGCGGGCGGATCACCTGAGGTCGGCAGTTTGAGATCAGCCTGACCAACATGAGGAAATCTCGTCTTTACTAAAAATACAAAAAATTAGTTGGGCGTGGTGGCGCATGCCTGTAGTTCCAGCTACTTGGGAGGCTGAGGCGGGAGAATCGCTTGAACCTGGGAGGCAGAGGTTGCAGTGAGCCAAGATCATGCCATAGCACTCCAGACTGAGCAACAAGAGTGAAACTCCGTCTCAGAAAAAAAAAAAAAAGTTGTTCAAGTACTTCATTTGTCTCCTCCCACTTATAATTGAGTGGTTTTTTTTAAGAAATAAGTGTTTATTTTTGCAGTTGTCATGCCTTTTGTACTGTAATCATTTATATATGACTTATCTGTCAGACAGTGAGTTCTTTTTTCTCCTCACGTTGCTGGCACATCAGAAGTTCTTGATCTGTTAATGAAATTTATTTATTTATTTATTTCTAAGACAGGGGCTTGCTGTACTGCCAGGGTGGAGTGCAGTGGCGTGATAATGGCTCACTGTATTCTTGACCTTTGAGGATGAAGTGATCCTCCCTTCTCAGCCTCCCAAATAGATGGGACTACAGGCACATGCCACCATCCTCAGCCAGTATTTTTATTTTTAGTAGAGATAGGGTCTTGCTATGTTTCCCAGGCTGGTCTCGAACTCCTGGGCTCAAGCAGTCCTCCCACTTCTGCCTCCCAAAGTATTGGGATTACAGGTGTGAGCCCCTACACCTGGCCAGTTCAATGTATTGACTCATGGGAGAGTGATTTAATTCTCAAATTGACTTTAAGAACCTCTGTATAGGTACACACATGTGTATATTAACCAGTTCCAGTTCCTGTAGGTGATTTTTATTGAAGGATTTAATTCAGTAGGTGGGAAATAAGGAGTTCATTTTTTTTTTCAGTTTGTTTTTAAAATGAACCAGACAACACAAAATTTAACTAAGTTTTAGTTTCATTATTAAGCTATGTTTTTTAATAGAAAAACTACCATGTGTACACTTTTGAAACCAGCATTTACAGAGAAGTTACCGTTGACAGTTCAGTTTATAAATCCCTTCTCTCCTTTGTCTTTCTTTTTTCATTTTTCATTTTGCATTCTGAGGGAAGTAGGCATTCCATAATTCTTCCAAAGGTTATTTGGATTCTTTTCTGTGTTTTGAAATAAGACATGGTTGTTACAAGGGAACTAGATGTGAGTTAAAATGAATTTTCGTATAAAATGATTTTTATTTCCTTTTATTAAAAGTGACAAATTGTTAAACATGTGTTGTCCTGACTTTCTTTTGTGACACTTTTTAGTGTAATAAAAGTTGCTAATAAAATTGTAAATGTGTGGAAGATAACATATACTAGATGAATTATAATCTTTTCTAGATGGGATTTGTATTTTCATATTTTTAATTGTATGTATAGAACTTTAGATAACCAAGAAATTATAGGCTAAACTGGATTTATTTTTGGTTTTATTACTGGTAGGCTTTCCTTTTTCTTTTAAAATTTCCCTAATTTGAAATATTGCATTTCACTTTCTTTGCAAAACCAGTGTTTGACCATGCGCTTGTTCTCTCTGAAGTTATTGAACTTACTATATCTAAAATACCAAAACCATACATTATTTTGGGGGTGTGGTTGTGGGGAGGAATCCATGCAAAGCACCTTGTGTGGTGCTCGTCTATGAGTAGCTACACTATAAATGTTAACAGATCATACATGTTGCTTTGCTGAAACATTTCTTCTTCTTTATATTAGCCTAGTGTTTTTCACGTTTTCTTGGGTTTTTTTTTGTATATATATTTTTGTTGCTGTGGGCTTACTATATACATCTTCTGTATTTTTGGAACAATGAAATTATAGACTGATAGTGAAGGAAACTTACCTGTCTACTATCTTAATTTCTTCTTTGTAGTTAATCTACATTTAGCTGGTTTTGAAGCTATACCACGTCATCAGACTAGACTACTGATTCTTTCATAACCTCCTGTGTATTTTCTTGCCACACATATATAATACTTAAAATTTTCCTTGTGTATGATCTATTCTAGGTTGTCTAGTTCAGTGGGCATGTTAGTTGTTTCCAGACAGTCTTCTTTGGCGGCAATGATGTGGCTGTTCTCTTAATGATGAGAAGTAATTTCTTTGATCTAATGATTCTGGTTCTCTTACCCTTACCTAGTTTCCAACCGGAGGCCCTATCGGCAGTACTACGTGGAGGCTTTTGGAGATCCTTCTGAGAGAGCCTGGGTGGCTGGAAAAGCAATCGTCATGTTTGAAGGCAGACATCAATTCGAAGAGCTACCTGTCCTTAGGAGAAGAGGGAAACAGAAAGAAAAAGGATATAGGCATAAGGTAGGAAACGAAAAAGGCTTTTTATTGAGTGACAGAAGCAAGTAAGAAAAAGAAAGAAAATGGCCTCTTATTTATTTTCGAGACAGAACTTTGCTCTGTTTCCCAGATTGGAGTACAGTGGTGCAATCTTTGTTCACTGCAACCTCCGCGTCCCAGGTTCAAGTGATTCTCGTGCTTCAGCCTCTTGAGTAGCTGGTATTATAAGCGAGCACCACCACGCCTGGCTAACTTTTGTATTTAGTAGAGACAGGATTTCGCCATGTTGGCCAGGTTGGTCTTGAACTCCTGAGCTCAAGCAGCTTCCCAAAATGCTGGGATTACAGGTGTGAGCCACTGTGCCTGGCCCGGCCTTTTAAAAATCATTATCTACTTGGGAGTTAGCAGAGAGGAGGCAGGGAAGAAGCATTATATTTTTGAAATGTAAGTTATTTCCTTTGGTAGTAGAATATCTGTGAGAAAAGAGCTAGGGAGCAGATGCAGGTGGGTTTTTTTTGTTTGTTTGTTTGTTTGTTTTTCCTCCCCAGTGGGCTGGGGCTAGCTTGTGACATATTTATACTAAATTTTTTGATAAATTATTTTAGTCAACTTTACTGTGTCACTCAGTAGTGAAAATTATGACATAGCGTGACCATTCTTTTGTTATCTTTTATGCATGATGAAAGTATCATTAAAATGAAATATTCTGCTTCTTGCCACTTGGACTAATTATTTCTGTTAATGAGAATAATGTGGTTTTTTTGTTTGTTTGTTTCTTTGTTTTTGGAGACAGAGTCTCACTCTGTCACCCAGGCTGAAGTGCAGTGGCACACTCTTGGCTCACTGCAACTTCCGCCTCCCAGGTTTGAGCCATTCTTGTGCCTTAGCCTCCCAAGTAGCTGGGATTATAGGTGCCCGCCACCACACCTGGCTAATTTTTGTATTTTTAGTAGAGACAGGTTTTGCCATATTGGCCAGGCTGGTCTTGAACTCCTGATGTCAGGTGATCAACTCGCCTCAGCCTCCCAAAGTGCTGGGATTACAGGCGTGAGCCACTGCGCCCACTGAGAACCATAAAGTTTTTAATAATTTTCTTTTTTATGTTTGTCAGTGCTTAAGTCTAAAGTTTCTACTCTAGTTATATTTCAACCATCAGTATTGTGGCTTTTTTTCTTTTGCTTGATGTTTTATGTTAAATTTGGCTGAGAAAAATACCAGCTTATTTTAATACTCTTTTTTCCTCCAGTTTTTTTTATTGTGTTAAAATATATATAATATAAAAATTACTATCTTAAACACTTTTAAGTGTACAGTTAATGGTTTTAAATACATTTATAATGGTGTGCAAACATCTCATAATTATTTTCATCTTGCAAATCTGATACTCTTTTACCTGTTAAACAGTAATTCCCCATTTGTCCTTCTCCCATCACTGTCACCACCATTCTACTGTTTGTCTCTATGATTTAATATTCTCTTATATTCAATTCTAGAAGGAGAAATAATAATTCTTAGTTTGGTGTTTTATACTCCCCTGGGTCTAAATACTTTTATTTATTATTATTATTCTTTGATACGGGGGTCTCTCTATGTTGTTCATGCTAGAGTGCTGTTGCACAGTCATCTTTTACTGCAGCTATGACCTCCCAGGCTCGAGCCATTCTCCTGACTCAGTCTCCCGAGTAGCTGGGACTACAGATATGTATGACTACAGTGGCTAATTTTTATTTATTATTATTATTATTTTTTTAAACAGAGTCTTGCTCTGTCACCCAGGCCGGAGTACAATGGTACAATCTTGGCTCACTGCAACCTCTGCCTCCTGGGTTCAGGCGATTCTCATGCCTTAGCCTCCCAAATAGTTGGGATTACAAGTGTATGCCACCACACCTGGCTAATTTTTGTATTTTTAGTAGAGACAGGGTTTCACCATGTTGGCCAGGCTGGTCTCAAACTCCTGTCCTCAAGTGATCCATCTGCCTTGGTTTCCCAAAGTGCTGGGATTACAGGCATGAGCCACTGTGCCCAGCCCCAATTTTTATTTTTATTTTTTTGTAGAACGACAAGGTCTTGCCATGTTGCCCAGGCTGGTCTTGAACTCCTGGACTTAATCTTCTCATGTCGGTTTCCCAAAGTGATGGGATTACAGGCATGAGATACCATGCTGGCAATACTTGTAGACTATTTTTAAAAATCATAATTAGGATAATTTAGAGTTCATATGCAGGGTCTGCCACTTAACACTTGAGTTCTCAAAGACTTGGTGTCTTCATCTCTAAAGCTAGTACAATAACTTACACCCTATAGAACTGTTGTAAACATTAGAAATAAGTATAAAATACTTAATATGACATACAATTGATGCTTTAGAAACAATTAGTATGTGTTGTTAGGATGAAAGAGGTTAACGGCTTCCTTTCAGATATTTCAGCTGGTTGCTGATAGGGATGTGTCGGTTATTTTGTTAAGTCTTTAGGTACGTAGAGTTACCAATCTTTTTAGAGGTGTTTATTGGGGCTTTCAGATTCTGGAAAATTGATTTACTCTGGTCACAGTCATGAGCATTAGTGGATATGTGTTTCTGTGCTTAAAAAAAAAAAAATACACACTACCAGATTGTCCGTTTGATCCTTTCTTTAAGAGGAGGCTACTCCTCTAGTTACCCTAATTTTTTTTTTTTCTTTTTGAGATGGAGTCTCACTCTGTCGCCCCAGCTGGAATGCAGTGGCATGATCTCGGCTCACCGCAACCTCTGCCTCCTGGGTTCAAGCAATTCTCCTGCTTCAGCCTCCCAAGTAGCTGAGATTACAGGCTTGCGCCACCACGCCCTGCTAATTTTTGTATTTTTAGTAGAGACAGGGTTTCACTATGTTGGCCAGGCTGGTCTCGACCTCCTAACCTAAGGTGACCCCCCGCCATCCCCCCGACCTTGGCCTCTCAAAATGCTAGGATTACAGGCGTGAGCCACTGTGCCCGGCCTCGTTACCGTAATTATTTATTTTTTAATTTATTTATTTTTATTTATTTATTTTGAGACAGAGTCTCGCTCTGTTGTGCAGGCTGGAGTGCAGTGGTGCGATGTCAGCTCACTACAACCTCCGCCTCCCGGGTTCACGCCATTCTCCTGCCTCAGCCTCCCGAGTAGCTGGGACTACAGGTGTCCGCCACCAGGCCTGGCTAATTTTTTATATTTTTAGTATAGACGGGGTTTCACCATGTTAGCCAGGATGGTCTCGATCTCCTGACCTTGTGATCTGCCCACCTCAGCCTCCCAAAGCACTGGGATTGCAGGCGTGAGCCACCGTGCCTGGCCTATTTATTTAAATTTTTTTTTTTTTTTTTTTTTTTTTTTTTAGAGAAGGGGTGGGTCTCCCTGTGTTTCCCAGGCTGGGCTAAAGGCATCCTCCTGCCTCAGCCTCGCAAAGTGCTGGGATTAAAGGTGTGAGCCACTCCACGCAGCCTTTTATTCATTTATTTTATTTTTTAAAATTTGAGACAGGATCGTGCTCTGTCATCCAGGCTGGAGTGCAGTGGCACGGTTTCGGCACACTGCAACTTTCACCTCCTGGGCACAAATGATCCTCCTACCTCAGCCTACTGAGTAGCTGGGACCATATGCATGCAGCATGTCCAGCTAGTGTGTGTGTGTGTGTGCGTGTGTGTGTGTGTGTTTTTAGTAGAGACAGGGTCTGGTTGTGTTACCCAGGTTGGTCTTGAACTCCAGAGCTCATGTAATCCACCTGCCTCAGCCTCTCAAAGTCCTGGGAGTACAGCCATGAGCCACCATCCCCAGCAATGATCTGAATGTTTACTTGCTCTGCAGAACATCCCCTTCACAAATATTAAACTATTTGTGAACACTATGTGGTAGTTAGAATCTTGACTAATACCTATTGTATGGAGGTAAGGAAGAAAATAAGAGTCTGAAAAATTAGCTGTATTTCAGAGTCTCAATGTTTTCATGCTGTGAGGTATCCAGAAAAGATAATGTAATACCCATGGTGTCATCAGTATAATAGCTCTGGATTACATGATGAAGCCTAGGAGATGGCTTGGTTATAATCCAGGTTATATTTAACATTTATAGTCGATTCTTGATTAGCCAGGTGGCTAGTGATAACTAGAATTTCAAATTTCAAGTTCCCTAGGGAGGTAGATCAAACCTGCTGATTCCTCTTATCCTGTTTTTTCTATATTCATCATCTTTAACCTTTTTTTCTTTTTCTTTTTTTTTTCTTGGTTTTTCTTTTTCTTTTTTTCTTTTCTTTTTTCTTTTTGAGAAAGAGTCTTGCTCTGTCACCCAGGCTGGAGTACAGTGGCGTGATCTCAGCTCACTGGAGCCTCCACTTACTGGGTACAAATGATTCTCGTGTCTTAGCCTCCCTACTTTCTTTTTTATGCAACTGAACATGTGTTTGGCCTTCATATTCCTTAATTAATTAATTAATTAATTAATTTTTTGAGATGGAGTCTTGCTCTGTCCCCCATGCTGGAGTGCAATGGCGTGATCTCCAACTCCCGGGTGCTAGTGATTCTCCTGCCTCAGCCTCCACAGTAGCTGGGAGTATAGGTGTCTGCCACCACACCTGGCTAATTTTTTTATTTTTAGTAGAGATGGGGTTTGGCGATGTTGGCCAGGGTTGTCTTGAACTCCTGACCTGAGGTGATTCGTCCTCCTCAGCCTCTGAAAGTGCTGGGATTACAGGCGTGAGCCACACACCCGGCCAAGTATTCTTTAATTTAGAAATGTAATGTTACCAGTTTTAGTCTATATTCTGCTTTGTGCTTATAAATGCAGGGAGGGTGGAGTGTTTGTGAGATCAGTCCTTACTCTAATGACATAATCTTATTAGCAGAAGTATTTTTGAGGAAGCTCCATTAGGGTGATTCAGATGCTGCTTGAGCTCAGGTGCTAACTACCTGGCTGGTTCCATAAAAGCAGGAGGCCTGACAGGTTTGTAAAAGCTTCTGATTTCAGGCCGGGTGCGGTGGCTCATAGCTGTAATCCCAGCACTTTGGGAGGCTGAGGTGAGCGGATCACTTCAGGTCAGGAGTTTGAGACCAGCCTGGCCAATATGGTGAAACCCCTATTCTACTGAAAATACAAAAAATTAGCTGGGTGTGGTGGCGGGTGCCTGTAATCCCAGCTACTCGGGAGGCTGAGGAAGGAGAATCACTTGAACCCGGGAGGCAGAGGTTGTGGTGAGCGAAGATTGTGCCACTGCACTCCAGCCTGGGCGACAGAGCAAGACTCTGTCTCAAAAAAAAAAAAAAAAGGAATAAAAAAAAAAGCTTCTGATTTCATCTCCCTTTTCCCCCACCCATTTCTTTGATAAGTGATAATTCTTTTTCTCCTTTAAATTTAAGGTTCCTCAGAAAATTTTGAGTAAATGGGAAGCCAGTGTTGGACTTGCAGAACAGTATGATGTTCCCAAGGGGTCAAAGAACCGAAAATGTATTCCTGGTTCAATCAAGTTGGACAGTGAAGAAGATATGCCATTTGAAGACTGCACAAATGATCCTGAGTCAGAACATGACCTGTTGCTTAATGGCTGTTTGAAATCACTGGCTTTTGATTCTGAACATTCTGCAGATGAGAAGGAAAAGCCTTGCGCTAAATCTCGAGCCAGAAAGAGCTCTGATAATCCAAAAAGGACTAGTGTGAAAAAGGGCCACATACAATTTGAAGCACATAAAGATGAACGGAGGGGAAAGATTCCAGAGAACCTTGGCCTAAACTTTATCTCTGGGGATATATCTGATACGCAGGCCTCTAATGAACTTTCCAGGATAGCAAATAGCCTCACAGGGTCCAACACTGCCCCAGGAAGTTTTCTGTTTTCTTCCTGTGGAAAAAACACTGCAAAGAAAGAATTTGAGACTTCAAATGGTGACTCTTTATTGGGCTTGCCTGAGGGTGCTTTGATCTCAAAGTGTTCTCGAGAGAAGAATAAACCCCAACGAAGCCTGGTGTGTGGTTCAAAAGTGAAGCTCTGCTATATTGGAGCAGGTGATGAGGAAAAGCGAAGTGATTCCATTAGTATCTGTACCACTTCTGATGATGGAAGCAGTGACCTGGATCCCATAGAACACAGCTCAGAGTCTGATAACAGTGTCCTTGAAATTCCAGATGCTTTCGATAGAACAGAGAACATGTTATCTATGCAGAAAAATGAAAAGATAAAGTATTCTAGGTTTGCTGCCACAAACACTAGGGTAAAAGCAAAACAGAAGCCTCTCATTAGTAACTCACATACAGACCACTTAATGGGTTGTACTAAGAGTGCAGAGCCTGGAACCGAGACGTCTCAGGTTAATCTCTCTGATCTGAAGGCATCTACTCTTGTTCACAAACCCCAGTCAGATTTTACAAATGATGCTCTCTCTCCAAAATTCAACCTGTCATCAAGCATATCCAGTGAGAACTCGTTAATAAAGGGTGGGGCAGCAAATCAAGCTCTATTACATTCGAAAAGCAAACAGCCCAAGTTCCGAAGTATAAAGTGCAAACACAAAGAAAATCCAGTTATGGCAGAACCCCCAGTTATAAATGAGGAGTGCAGTTTGAAATGCTGCTCTTCTGATACCAAAGGCTCTCCTTTGGCCAGCATTTCTAAAAGTGGGAAAGTGGATGGTCTAAAACTACTGAACAATATGCATGAGAAAACCAGGGATTCAAGTGACATAGAAACAGCAGTGGTGAAACATGTTTTATCCGAGTTGAAGGAACTCTCTTACAGATCCTTAGGTGAGGATGTCAGTGACTCTGGAACATCAAAGCCATCAAAACCATTACTTTTCTCTTCTGCTTCTAGTCAGAATCACATACCTATTGAACCAGACTACAAATTCAGTACATTGCTAATGATGTTGAAAGATATGCATGATAGTAAGACGAAGGAGCAGCGGTTGATGACTGCTCAAAACCTGGTCTCTTACCGGAGTCCTGGTCGTGGGGACTGTTCTACTAATAGTCCTGTAGGAGTCTCTAAGGTTTTGGTTTCAGGAGGCTCCACACACAATTCAGAGAAAAAGGGAGATGGCACTCAGAACTCCGCCAATCCTAGCCCTAGTGGGGGTGACTCTGCATTATCTGGCGAGTTGTCTGCTTCCCTACCTGGCTTACTGTCCGACAAGAGAGACCTCCCTGCTTCTGGTAAAAGTCGTTCAGACTGTGTTACTAGGCGCAACTGTGGACGATCAAAGCCTTCATCCAAATTGCGAGATGCTTTTTCAGCCCAAATGGTAAAGAACACAGTGAACCGTAAAGCCTTAAAGACCGAGCGCAAAAGAAAACTGAATCAGCTTCCAAGTGTGACTCTTGATGCTGTACTGCAGGGAGACCGAGAACGTGGAGGTTCATTGAGAGGTGGGGCAGAAGATCCTAGTAAAGAGGATCCCCTTCAGATAATGGGCCACTTAACAAGTGAAGATGGTGACCATTTTTCTGATGTGCATTTCGATAGCAAGGTTAAGCAATCTGATCCTGGTAAAATTTCTGAAAAAGGACTCTCTTTTGAAAACGGAAAAGGCCCAGAGCTGGACTCTGTAATGAACAGTGAGAATGATGAACTCAATGGTGTAAATCAAGTGGTGCCTAAAAAGCGGTGGCAGCGTTTAAACCAAAGGCGCACTAAACCTCGTAAGCGCATGAACAGATTTAAAGAGAAAGAAAACTCTGAGTGTGCCTTTAGGGTCTTACTTCCTAGTGACCCTGTGCAGGAGGGGCGGGATGAGTTTCCAGAGCATAGAACTCCTTCAGCAAGCATACTTGAGGAACCACTGACAGAGCAAAATCATGCTGACTGCTTAGATTCAGCTGGGCCACGGTTAAATGTTTGTGATAAATCCAGTGCCAGCATTGGTGACATGGAAAAGGAGCCAGGAATTCCCAGTTTGACACCACAGGCTGAGCTCCCTGAACCAGGTAAGGACATCTAAATGTGATAAAAAAAAAAAAATTGGAGAAAGTGCTGATAAACATTGTCCTTCTGAAATTGGTCTGTTGTAATGGTAAAGTGAAGTATAAACTAGCGGGGAAGAATCATCACTTCAATGAAGAAGGAGTTTTATGTAGAAAGGTCTGAATTTTGAAGATGAGATTTCCATATATATTCAAAAGTTAAACTTTACCAGAAGCCCTTTTCCCCAACCTTTTCAAGTAAATCTCTATAACATCTTTCTTTCTCACTTTCTCTCTCTCTCTTTCTCTCTCTCTCTTTTTTTTTTTTTTCTAATTTTTTTTTTCTTTTGAGACAGGGTCTCACTGTGTTGCCCAGGCTGGTCTCAAACTCCTGAGTTCACGCCATCTGCCAGCCTTTGCCTCCTAAAGTGCTGGGATTACTCTTGCCTGACCTGTTCCCCGTTTCTTACCTTTTAAAATCCCCAAGCTTTTTGGGACTCAATATGTAACTGCAAGTAATTGAGAGGCTCCGATCCTAGGATTTAAATCCAGTTGTTAGGTTATAGAAAGCAAATAGATTCTATTGGATGGTAGTTTCTTTTTTTTTTCTTAAGGCACCCGCCACCATACCTGGTAATTTTTGTATTTTTAGTAGAGATGAGGGTTCACCACGTTGGCCAGGCTGGTCTTGAACTGAACTCAAGTGATCCGCCCACCAAAAGTGCTGGGATACAGGCGTGAGCCACTGCATCTGGCTGGATGTTAGGTTTTCTTTGACCATTACTTAAGATAGGTCCTTCTGTTTTGTGGACAATTTGATGAACCACATGCGCTTTTGAAAAAACTGCAAGTATTCTGTAGTACTTATTTGAAGGTCTTAGGTGTCTTAAATTCCTACTGGAATGAGGATTATGAACAAATAAAAATACCAGAAGTACCCAAGTGTTGTACCTAGCAGCAGATGGAAAACAGAAATCTTTCAAGATACTAACATTACACAGTATACAGTTGAGGATAAAGCAGTGTGTGTATACATGTATATACATATTTTTTTCTTTTTTACAGCAATATCCATTAACATAAGATTCTCAAAACTGTGTATCATAGTAGATTTTTCTCTAACAGCTTTATTGAAAATGCAGTTATCATATCATAAAATTCAGCTTTTAACGTTTTTAATTGAGTGGTTTGTAGTATAGTCACAGAGTTGTGCAACAATCAGTGCGATCAATTGTGGAATATTTGCATCATCCCAGACAGAAACACAGAACTCTTGTCAATCTGCCTTCAGGTTTTTTTTTCTTTTTTTTTCTTGAGACGGAGTCTCGCTCTGTTACCCAGGCTGGAGTGCCGTGGCGTGATCTCGGCTCACTGCAGGCTCCGCCTCCCGGGTTCACGCCATTCTCCTGCCTCAGCCTCCTGAGTAGCTGGGACTACAGGCGCCCGCCACCACACCCAGCTAATTTTTTTTTGTATTTTTAGTAGAGACGGGGTTTCACTGTGTTAGCCAGGATGGTCTCTGATCTCCTGACCTTGTGATCCGCCCGCCTCCACCTCCCAAAGTGCTGGGATTACAGGCGTGAGCCACTGTGCCCAGCCCTGCCTTCAGTTTTTACCAATCTGTAGATTTGTCTATTGTGTACATTTCATAGAAATGGAATCATACAATATATGGTCCTTTTGGGTCTGGTTTCCCTTACTTAGTTTAATGTTTTCTGGTTCATGCCTCTTGTAGTATGTATCAGTTCTTCTGTCTTCTTCTAAAATTATGGTTAAAAAGCATGTAACCTAAATGTACCTTTTTTGGTTTTTTTTTTGAGATAGGGTCTGGCTCTGTTGCCCAGGCTAGAGTGAGATTTACTCTTTAACGGTATTTACGGCCAGGTGCGGTGGCTCACGCCTGTAATTCCAGCACTCTGGGAGGCCAAGGCTGATGGATCACCTGAGGTCAGGAGTTCAAGACCAGCCTGGCCAACATGGCAAAACCCCATCTCTACTAAAAATACAAAAATTAGCTGGGCATGGTGGCGCGCTCCTGTAATACCAGCCACTCGGGAGGCTGAGGTAGGAGAATCACTTGAACCCGGGAGGTGGAGGTTGCAGTGAGTGGAGGTTGCAGTGAGCTGAGATTGCGCCACTGCACTCCAGCCTGGGAGACAGAGCGAAACCCCATTTCAAAATAAACAAACAAAAAAACAGTATTTAAGTGTGTATTATAGTGTCATGAATCATGTACATGTACAACAGCAGATCTCCAGGACATTTTCGTTTTGCTTGACTGAGACTCTATACCCATTGAACAACAACTCCTGATTTTCTCCTTTGTTCAATCCATGACAACTAACATTCTTTCTGCTTCTGTGAATTTGATTACTTTAGACATCTCATGTAAGTGGAATCATGCAGTATTTGTTGTTTTGTGATTGGGTTATTTCACATTTCACTTAGCATAATGTTTTCAAGGTTCATCCATGTTGTAGCATATGACAGGATCACCTTTTTTTTTTTTTTTTTGAGACAGAGTCTTACTGTGTCACCCAGGCTGGAGTGCAGTGGCGTGATCTCAGCTCACTGCATCCTCTGCCTCGTGGGTTCTCGGCTCACTGCAGCCTCTGCCTCGTGGGTTCAAGCAATTCTCCTGCCTCAGCCTCCTAAGTAGCTTGGACTACAGGCACATGCCACCATGCCTGGCTAATTTGTTTTGTATTTTTAGTAGAGACAGGGTGTCACCATGTTCCCCAGAATGGTCTCGATCTCCTGACCTCGTGATCCACCCGCCTTGGCCTCCCAAAGTGCTGGGATTAAAAGCATGAGCCACCACGCCCTGCCGATAACCTTTTTTTATGGCTGAATAATATTCCAACATACTTTTTCTTTTCCATACTAAAGCATCTTTTCTTTATCAGTTCATTGGTTGATGGACATTTAGATTGCTTCCACATCTTGACTATTGTGAGTAATGCTACAGTGAACATGGATATGCAGATATCTCTGAGATCTGGTTTTCAATTTTTTTTTTTTTTTTGAGATGGAGTTTCGCTCTTGTTGCCCAGGCCGGAGTGCAATGGCACAATCTCAGTTCACTGTAACCTCTGCCTCCTGGGCTCAAGCAATTCTGCCTCAGCCTTTCAAGTAGCTGGGATTACAGGCATATACCACCACGCCTAGCTAACTTTGTATTTTTAGTAGAGATGGGGTTTCACCATGTTGGCCAGGCTGGTGTCGAACTCCTGACCTCAGGTGGTCTGCCTGCTTCGGCCTCCCAAAGTGCTGGGATTACAGGCATGAGCAACTGCACCCAGTGATGTTCATTTCTTTTGGATAAATACCTAGAATGGCATTGGTGGAACATAGGGTAATTCTACTTTTATTTTTATTTTTTTTTGAGACAAGGGTCTCCCTCTGTCACCCAGGCTGGAGTATAATGATGCGATCTCAAGTCACTGCAACCTCTGCCTCCTGGGCTCAAGCAATTCTTGTGCCCCAGCCTCCCAAGTAGCTGGGATTACAGTGGTTTTGCCATGTTAGCCAGGCTGGTCTCAAATTCCTGACCTTAAGTGATCCTCCTGCTTCGGCCTCCCAAAGTGTTGGGATTATAGGTGTGAGCCACCGCACCCGGCCTACTTTTAATTTGATGAACCTCTATAGTGTTTTGCATAATTGCTGCATCATTTTATAAGTCCTTTGTCCATATACATATGTTTTTAATGATACTGGGCCTCTTTGTCACCTAGGGTGGAATACAGTGGTGCAGTTATAGCTCACTGCAGCCTCAAACTCCTGGGCTCAAGTGATCCTCCTATCTCAGCATCCTGAGTAGCTGGGAGTACAGGTGCATGCCACCACACTTGGCTAATTTTTGTGTTTTTTTGTAGAGACAGGTTTCTGGCTATGCTGCCCAGGCTGGTCTTCAACTACTGGGCTCAAATGATGTTCCCACTTTGGCCTCCCAAAATGCTGGGATTCCAGACATGAGCTACTGTGCATATCCCTTTGCATATTTTTAAATCTTGTTATTTTTAAAAAATGAGGTATAAGAGTTATTCATATATCCTGGATATTAACCAATTATCTGATGTATGATTTGCAAGTATTTTCTCCCATTTTGTACCTGCCTTTTCACTCTGTTGACTGTTTTCTTTGCTGTGTAGAAGTTAATGTGATTTTTTTTTTCCATTTTTGCTTTTTAAAAAATTTTTACTTGTGCTTTGGGTCTCATAGCCAGGAAATTCTTGTTCCTTCCAATATCATGAAGTTTTTTCGTCTGTTTTCTTCTAGGAGTTTCATAGTTGGAGGTCTTATGTTTAGGTCTTTGATCTATTTTATGATAATTTTTATGTAAGGTGTAAAATGAGAGTTCATCTTCGTTCTTCAGCATGTGCATATCCAGTTTTCACAATACCATCTGTTAAAGAGACTATCTTTTCCCCATTGTGTAGTCTTGGCACTGTTGTCGAAGGTCATTTGACCATGTATGTGATTTATTTCAGGGATCTCTGTTTTTTTTTTTTTTTTTTTAATTTTTAGTAAAATTGAGACGGGGTCCAACCATGTTGCCCAGGCTGTTCTTGAATTCCTGGGCTCAAGTGATCCTCCTGCCTCAGACTCCCAAAAAGCGGGGATTACAGGTGTGAGCCACCACCCTGGCCAGGGATCTCTGTGGATCTCTATTCTGTTCCATTGACTTACATGTCTATATTTTTATGCCAGTACAATATTGTTTTGATTACCATAGCCTCATGATATGTTTTGAAATCAAGAAATGTAAGGCCTTCAGTTTTTTTTTTTTTTCTTCTCAAGATTGTTTTGTTTATTTGGGGGTTCTTTGAAATTACACACTAATTTAGGATAGTTTTTTTATTTCTGCAAAAAAAAATGGCTTTTGAGATGTTGATAGGGATGGCATTGACTTTAGTTTCCTTTGGGTAGTAGGGATATCTTAACAATATTAAGTTTTCCAATCCATGAAAACAGGCTATCTTTCCATTTATTTATATCTTCCGTAATTTCATCCAACAGTGTTTTGGAGTGTACAACCATTTCTCCTCCTTGGTTAAGTTTATTCTTAAGTATTCTATTCTTTTTTATGCTATTGCAAATGTGATTGTTTTAATTTCCTTTTATATTGTTCATTATGAGTATATAGAAATGTTCAGGTTTAATTTTGTATCTTGGAACTTTGCCGAATTTGCTTCTTTGTTCTAATAGCGTGTGGAATCTTTAGGGTTTCCTACATAAAGGTTCATGTCATCTGCAAAGAGATAATTTGGCTCCTTGCTTCCCTATTTATTGCCTAATTACTCTGCTAGGACTTCAAATAATGTGTTGAATAGGTTGCTACAGTGGTATATTTCCCTTGCTCTTTATCTTAGAGGAAAAGCTTTCAGTGTTTCACTGTCAAGCATATTAGCTGTGGTCTTTTTATATATAGTCTTTATTATATTTATGTAATTACTTTTTTGTTTGTGTTTTTGTTTTTGGACAGCGTCACATTCTTTTTTTTTTTTTTTTTTGAGACAGAGTTTCATTCTTGGTGTCCATGATGGAGTGCAGTGGCGCGATCTCGGCTCACTGCAACCTCCACCTCCCTCGTTCAAGCCATTCTCCTGCCTCAGGCTCCTGAGTAGATGGGATTACAGGCGCCTGACACCACGCCCGGCTAATTTTTTTGTATTTTTAGTGGAGACGGGGTTTCACCATGTTGGTCAGGCTAGTCTCGAACTCTTGACCTTGTGATCTGCCCACCTCGGCCTCCCAAAGTGTAGACAGGGTCACATTCTGTCACTTAGGTTGGAGTGCAGTGGTGATATGGCTCACTGCAGCCTCAACCACCCAGGCTCAAGCAATACTCCCACCTTGACCTCCCAAGTAGCTGTGACTACAGCCATGCACCACCATACTCCGCTGATTTTTAACCTTTTTGTACAGGTCAGGTTTTACTATGTTGCCTAGGTGGGTCTAAAACTTCTGAGCTCAAGTGATCCTCCCACCTCAGCATCCCAAGTAGCTGGGACTGCAGGTGTGCACCATGACACCTGACTAATTTTGTAATTTTTTGTTGAAACAAGATTTTACTATGTTGCCTAGGGTGGTCTCAGACTCCTGGGCTCAAGCAGTCTTCCCACCTTGGCCCCCCAAAAGTGCTGGGATTACAGGTGTGAGCCACCATACCTGGCATGTAATTTCTTTTTATTCCTAGTTTGTTGAGTGCTTTCTTTTCAGTCATGAAAGGTAGTTGAATTTTGTCAGATGTTTTTTCTACCTCAAGTGTGAAGGTCATGTAGTTTTTTTGGGGTCCTTTATTCTGTTAATGTGCTGTATTCTGTTGATTTTTTTTTTCTATTTTTGAACCATCGTTGCATTCCAAGATTAAATTCCACTTGGTCATGATGTATATTTCTTTTTTTTTTTTTTGAGACGGAGTCTCGCTCTGTTGCCCAGGCTGGCGTGCCGTGGCGCAATCTCGGGTCACTGCAAGCTCCACCTCCCGGATTGACGCCATTCTCCTGCCTCGGCTTCCTGAGTAGCTGGGACTACAGGCGCCCCCCACCACGCCCGGCTAAATTTTTTTTGTATTTTTTAGTAGACAGGGTTTCACCATGTTAGCCAGGATGGTCTCCATCTCCTGACCTTGTGATCCGCCCTCCTCGGCCTCTCAAAGTGCTGGGATTACATGCATGAGCCACCGCGCCCGGCCCCCCCTTTTTTTTTTCTCCAGCTGGCCCTAACGGGAGCCGTATGTTTCTTTTAATGTGCTATTTAATTTGATATACTAGTATTTTGTTGAGGATTTTTGCATCAGTATTTATAAAAGATGTTGCTCTGTAGTTTATCTTTTCATTTCTATATGCTCTAGTCTTTGTTTCTTTCCTTCTACCAACTTTGGGCTTAGATTTATTTTTCTGTCTTCTCGAGGTGTAAATTTAGGTTGTTGAGTTGAAAACTTTGTTTTTCAATGTTGGCATTTACTGATACAGACTTCTCTCTTAGTAGTGTTTTTGCTGCATCCCATAAGTTTTGTGTTTTTTTTTTTGAGAGGGAGTCTCGCTCTGTCGCCAGGCTGGAGTGAGCTGGCACGATCTCAGCTCACTGCAAGCTCCACCTCCCGGGTTCAAGCGATTGTCCTGCCTCAGCCTCCCAAGTAGCTGGGATTACAGGTGCCTGCCACCACGCCCGGCTAATTTTTTGTATTTTTAGTAGAGACGGGGTTTCACTGTGTTAGCCAGGATGGTCTCGATTTCCTGACCTTGTTATCCTCCTGTCTCCGCCTCCCAAAGTGCTGGGATTACAGGCGTGAGCCACCGCGCCCGGCCCTGTCAAAAGATATTTTCAAATTTCCCTTGTGATTTCTTCTTTCTTCCATTGATTGTTCAAGAGTTTGTTGTTTAATTTCCACCTATTGGTGGATTTTTCAGTTTTTGTACTGATACTGATTTCTAGTTTCACTTGATTGTGACTGGAACAGATACTTGGTATGATTTCAGTCTTCATAAATTTGTTAAGACTTGTGTGGCTGGGCATGGCAGCTTACGCCTGTAATCTCAGCACTTTGGGAGGCCAAGGCGAGATCACCTGAGGTCAGGAGTTCAAGACCAGCATGGCCAACATGGCAAAACCCCATCTCCACTAAAAATACAAAAACTAGCTGGGCATGGTTGCTCATGCCTGTAGTCCCAGCTACTCAGGAGGCTGAGGCACGAGAACTGCTTGAACCCAGGAGGTAGATGTTGCAGCGAGCTGAGATCACGCCACTGCACTCCAGCCTGGGCGACAGAGTAAGATCCTGTGTCAAAAAAAAAAGACTCTGTGTGACCATATTGGAGAATATTCTATGTGCTTTTGACAAGAATGTGTATTCTGCTGCTGTTTGGTATTGGTGTTTTATATATGTTTGTTATATGCAATTGTTCAAGTCCTCTGTTTCTTTATTGATCTTCATTGTGGTTCTCTCCATTATTTTAACGTGGAGTATTAAAATCTCCTTGTGTTACTCTATTTCTCCTTTCAATTCTGTCATTATTTGCTTTTTATATTTGGGTGGTCTGATGTTAGGTGAATTACGTATTTGCAAGTGTTATAGCTTCCTGATGAATTGACTGTTTTATTATCATATCATGTGTTCCTTTGTCTCTTGTGACAGTGTTTTACCTAAAGTGTATTTTGTTTTATATAAGTATGGCCAAAACCTCTGCTTTCTTTTGTTTACCACTGGCATAGAATATCTTTTTGCAGCCATTCACGTTCAGCCTCTGTGAAGTGAGATTTAAGGCTCACTTAAATCTTAGGTGAGCCTTTTATAGATAGTACCTAATTGTATAATGGTTTTCATTCACTCAACCACTCTATCTTTAGATTGGGGAGTTTAATCCATTTTTTTTCTTATAGTAATTGCTTTTTTTTTTTTTTTTTTTTTTTTGAAACAGAGGCTTGCTCTGTCGCCTAGGCTGGAGTGCAGTGGCATGATCTTAGCTCACTGCAAACTCCGCCTCCCGGGTTCAAGTAATTCTAGTGTCTCAGTTTTCCTGAGTAGCTGGGATTACAAGCGTGCACCAACACGCTTGGCTAATTTTTGTCTTTTTAGTAGAGACAGGGTTTTGCAGTGTTGGCCACGCCAGTCTCAAGTGATCTTCCTCAAGTGATCCACCTGCCTTAGCTTCTCAAAGTGCTGGGATTATGGTTATGAGCCACTGTGGTCGGCCTCTTTTTTTATGGAGACAGGCTCTCCCTCTGTCATCCAGGCTGTAGTGCAGTGGGGCAATCTCAGCTCACTGCAACCTCCACCTCTGGGTTCAAGCGATTCTTGTGCCTCAGCCTCCTGAGTAGCTGGGGCTACAGGTGCCTTCCACCACCCCCGGTTAATTTTGTGTGGTTTTTCATTTTTAATAGATACGGGGTTTCACCATGTTGGCCAGGCTGGTCTTGAACTCCTAGCCTGAAATGATCCACCCACTTTGGCCTCCCACAGTGCAGGGATTACAGGTGTGAGCCACTGTGGCCTGTATTTGGCCTCATTTTTTGTTAAAGTAATTACAGACAAAGATTTGTTATTACCATTTTGCTAATTGTTTCTCGTCTGGTTTGTAGCTGTTTTGTCCCCCTTTTGCTGTCTTTCTGCCTTCCTTGTTTTTTGTTTTTTTTTTTAATTGACATACTTTGTTTTCTTTATCATTTCATTTTATGTATCTTCAATAGGCATTTTCCATGTTGTTACCATGGGGCTTAAATAAAACATCTTACAGGTACAGTAATCTATTTTAAGCTGTTAACAACTTAAGTTGAATGTATATAAAACTCTTTTTTTCCCCCCAATTTTTTTTCAAGGCGGAGTCTTGCTCTGTTGCCCAGGCTGGAGTGCAGTGGTACAATCTCAGCTCACTGCAAACTCCCGGGTTCAAGCAATTCTCCTGCTTCAGCCTCCCAAGTAGCTGGGATTAGATTACAGGCATGCGCCACCATGCCTGGCTAATTTTTGCATTTTTAGTAGAGATGGGGTTTCACCTTGTCGGCCAGGCTGGACTCGAACTCCTGACCTTATGATCCGTCCATGTTAGCTTCCCAAAGTGCTGGGATTACAAGCATTAGCCACTGCGCCTGCCCTGTAAAACTCATATTTCCCCTTCCCCACTTTGTTGTTGTTTTTGTTTTTTCTTTTTTTGAGACAGAGTTTCATTCTCATCGCCCAGGCTGGAGTGCAGTGGTGTGATCTCAGCTCACAGCAACCTTTGCCTCCTGGGTTTGAGTGTTTCTTCTGCCTCAGCCTCCTAAGTAGCTGGGACTACAGGGTTGTGCCACTATGCCGAGCTGAGTTTTTTGTATTTTTGTGGAGACAGGGTTTCACCATTTTGGCCAGGCTAGTCTCGAACTCCTGATCTCAGGTGATCTGCCCACCTTGGCCTCCCAAAATGCTGGGATTACAGGCGTGAGCCATCGCACCCGGCCCCCACTTTGTTTTATTTTTTATTATTATTACTTTTTGAGATGTTGTCTCACTCTGTCACCCAGGCTGGAGTGCAGTGGCACGATCTTGGCTCATTTCAAGTTTCACCTCCCAGGTACAAGCGATTCTCATGTCTCAGCCTCCCAAGTAGCTTGGACTACAGGCGCGCACCACCACGCCCAGCTAATTTTTGTGTTCTTAGTAGAGGCAGAGTTTCACCATGTTGACCAGTTTTTATTTCTTTTGGTTATATCCCTAGGAGTAGAATTCCTGGGTCATTTGGTTATTCTATATTCAACCCTTTGAGTAACTGCCAGGATGTTTTGCAAGGCTGCTTTACCATAATATATCCCTCCTAGCAATGTATGAGGGTTCCACTTCCTCCATATGCTTGCTGACACTTTATTTGGTTATAGCCGTCCTTTTGGGTGTGGAGCAGTGGTATCTCATTATGATTTTCATTTGCATTCCTCTGCTGGCTAATGATGTTCAATATATTTTCATATACTTTTGGGTCATTTATGTATTTTATTTGGACAATTACATATCTAGAGTCTTTGACTATATTTTAATTGGGGCTTTTTTGCCTTTTGGTTATTAAGTAATAAGAGGTCTTTATATATTTTACATATAAGTCCATTATTATATATGATGCAAGTATTTTCTCCTATTCTTTGGGTTTATTTGATACACACATATTTTCTCCTCTTATTTGGGTTGTCTTTTTATTAGTTTGATCATATACCTTGAATTACAAGAATTTAAATCCTGATACATTCTGTTTGTTTGCTATTGTTGGTGTATGTTAGAACCATTGTGTAATTCTTGGTTATGAGGATTTACCCTATGTTTTCTTCTAAAACCTTTGATGCATTTTGAATTATTTTTTGTATATGGTGTGAGTGAGGGGTCCAATTTTATTTTGCTGCATGTGGGTGTCCACTTGTTGAAAAGAATATTCTTTTTCTTTTTCTTTTTTTTTTTTTTCAGACAGAGTCTCGCTCTGTCACCCAGGCTGCAATGCAACCCAGAGCCGGATCTTGGCTCACTGCAACGTCTGCCTCCTGGGTTCAAGGAGTTCTCATGTCTCAGCCTCCCAAGTAGCTGGGATTACAGGCATGCGCCAGCACGTCTGGCTAATTTTAATTTTTTTAAGAGAGCCAGTCTAGGCACGGTGGCTAGGCCGGGCACGGTGGCTCACAGCTTTAATCCCAGCACTTTTGGGAGGCTGATGCGGGCAGATCACTTGAGGTCAGAAGTTCGAGACCAGCCTGGCCAACGTGGTGAAACCCCATCTCTACTAAAAATACAAAAATTAGCCGGATGTGGTAGCAGATGCCTGTAATCCCAGCTACTTGGGAGGCTGAGGCAGGAGAATCACTTGAACCCAGGAAGCGGAAGTTGCAGTGAGCTGATATTGTGCCATAGCACTCTACCCTGGGCGACAGAGCAAGATTCTGTCTCCAAAAAACAAAACAAGAGACAGCCACCACGCCCAGCCTGAAAAGAATATTCTTTACCTATTTAATGGTCTTTGCATCCTTATTGATAGTCAGTTGGTCATAACTACGTAAGAGGTTGGTTCTGTGCTCTCAATGAGGTGGTGGCTCACACCTGTAATTCCAGAATTTTGGGAGGCCAAGGTGGGTGGATCACCTGAGATCAGGAGTTCTAGACCATCGTGTCCAACATGAGGGTCAAACCTCATCTCTACTAAAAATACAAAAAGTAGTCAGGTGTAGTGACACATGCCTGTAATCCCAGCTACTCAAGAGGCTGAGGCAGGAGAATCGCCTGAACCTGGGAGGTGGAGGTTACAATGAGCTGAGATCATGCCACTGCACTCCAGCCTGCCTGGGTGGCAGAGCAAGACTCTTGTCTCAACAAAAAATAAATAAAAATTGTAAGTGTTAGTTACAGTATTTTTGTAGTAATTAATTACAGTATTTTTGTAGTAATTAATTTTACTGTGTTTCTGAAATTGGAAAGTATAAGTTTTTTAACTTTACCCTTTTTCAAGATCATTTTGGCTCTTTTGCATCTTTGGTGTTTCATATTAATGTTAGAACAAGGTTGTAAGTTTCTGCAAAAAAGCCAGTTATGATTTTGATAGGGATTGTGCTGAATCTGTGGGGTAGTTTGCATAGTGTTGCCATCTTAGCAATATTAAGTCTTCCAATCCATGAATAATAGATGACTTTTCATCCAATTAGATTCGTCTTTCACTTCTTTCCATGATACTTTGTAATTTTCAGTGTATAAATTCTGCACTTAAAAAAATTTATTCCTAAGTATTTTAGTCTTTCTTTGTCCTTTTATAAATGAATTTGTTTTTGATTTCATTCTCAAATTATCTCATGTTTATGAAAATTTTGTATATTATTTTAATATTTAATATTAATACAAACATTTTGTATATTATTTTATCGTGCAACTTTGCTGAACTCATCTCTGTTAATTAATAGAATTGATTACTGTTTGTTAGTAATAGTATTTTTTTATGAATTATTTTGGATTTTCTGTGTACATGACCATGCAATCTGCATGTTTTCTAATCTAGTTGCCCTTTTCCCCCTTTGCTTACTTACCCTGGCTAGAGCCTCCAGTGTGATGCGGAATACTAGTGGAAAAAGCAGACATCCTTGTCTTGTTTTTGATGTTAGGAGGAAATAATTGAGTCTTTTTCATTAACTATGATGTCAGCTGTGGTTTTGTTATATTACCTTTCATATTTAGAATGTTCTCTTTTATACCTATTTTGTCACATTTGTAAGATCTTTTTTGTGTCTATTGAGAAGACAATTTTGCGTTTCCCCCTTTATTCTATCCATATGATGTATTATATTGATTGATTTTTGTAATTTGAACCAACTTTGAAGTCCTGGGGTAAATCCTACTTGGTCATGTTGTGTAATGTTGTTGGATGTGTTTTGCTTGTATTTTGCTGAAGATTTAAAAATCTATACTCAAAGGATATTGGTCTACAGTTTTCCTATTTGTGTGATACCTTTTGTCTAGTTCTTTTTGTTGTTGATGTTTTTTGTTTTTATATTTTTGAGACGGAGTTTCGCCCTCATCGCCCAGGCTTCAGTGGTGTGATCTCGGCTCACTGCATCCTCTGCCTCCCGGGTTCAAGTGATTCTCCTGCCTCAGCCTCCCAAGTAGCTGGGGTTACAGGCACGTGCCACCACACCCAGCTAATTTTTGTATTTTTAGTAGAGACGGGGTTTCACCATATTGGCCAGGCTGGTCTTGAACTCCTGATCTCAAGTAATCTGCCTGTCTGAGCCTCCCAAAGTGCTGGGATTACAGGTGTGAGCCGCCGTGCCCAGCCGTCTTAGTCTAGTTCTGCTTTCAGAGTATACTGGCCTCATAGAATGAACGTGACAGGTAGTTTCTTAAGTAGTGCTTTGTTATAACCCAATTGTGGCCTTTCTTATTTATTTTCTCCCCTTTTTCCTGACATCCTTTACTTTCACCGCCTTTATATAGATCTACCTTTGCTAGTAAATAGGGTCATATGGGTGCTGGAAATAATCCATTCCTGTGAATTATTATTAATGTACATGTGAATATTACTGTTAAAGCAGATGATGTCTTTTCCTTAAGAATAGTTCACAATTTTCGTTCATTATATTTCAAATATTTTCATATAATTTTATTTTTACTTCAGTTTTGAATTTTTTGGTTTTGAGTATGTATTGAAAAGATGAGAGAAGCTATTCAGTAAAAATTTTCCTCCCAACCCTGTACCTCAGTGGCTTAGATCTGCTCTCCAGAGATACTCAGTGTATGAATTACCAAGAAAAAGGTAGATGTGTGTTTGTTACACAAATTCAACAGTATATATACGTTGTTTGTACCTTGATTTTTTTGTTTCACTCTCATATCCATGCATAATGAGTTTCTCATTTTTTAAGCAGCAGAGTGTGCCATAGTTTTTCGTTTTTGTTTTTGAGACAGGGTCTCACTTTGTTGCTTAGGCTGGAGTGTGGTGGCACAATCTTGGCTCACTGCAACCTTTGCCTCCGGGGCTCAAGCAATCCTCCCACATCAGCTTCCCAGGTAGCTGGGACTACAGGCACGTGCCACCACACCCGGTTAATTTTTGTATTTTTGGTAGAGGTGAGGTTTCAGGTTGGTCTTGAACTCCTGAGCTCAAGTGTTCCACCTGCTTTAGCCTCCCAAAGTGCTGGGATTACATGCGTGAGCCACCGGGCCCGGCCAGTAGTGTGCCATAATTTGTTAAACCTGTTCTCAATTAATGGACATTTAGTTTGTTTTCCAGTTTTAAGTAATTTAAAATTTAGCATAGTTAAAAATCTTAAGTCATTTGGTATGTGTGAGAGAACCTGAAAGATAAATTGCTATCGAGGTTTATTTATTTATTTTTGAAATGGGGTTCTTGCTGTTTTGCCCAAGCCTGGTCTCAAACTCTTTCCTTCACTTGAGAGATCCTCCTGCCTCAGCCAAATAGCTGGGACCACAGCCGTGTACTACCATGCCCAGCTTAGGTCATTTGGTTTGTCTTTGGCGATATCTCATAGTATTCCAATTTGAAATTTCACTTCATAGTTGTTATACTGATATGTTCCTACTAACAGTACAGAAAAGTACAGATTGGCATTCTGTTAATTTTTTTTAACATCCAGTCTAACCACCCCCTTTTCCAAGTCTGTATTCCCACTCACAATCTAGTAATTAAAAAAAAATTTTGAGTAAAGTATGAAATTTTGTTAAGGGGCTGCATGTATAGTTTTGATATGAATGAAGCTATGTTTCAGATGGTTAATTTACTTTGGTTGTTTGGAATTTCCAATGGTTTTTTATTTTACAGAGTCCTGCCAAATTTATAACAACTGTAGGGCAGGGTGTGGATAGGGATATTTTTACTGAGTAAATACTATTACATGTACTAGAGGTATTCTGTTATGTTAAAATATCCCGTTAGAGATACATGATGAAACACATATGGATGAAATATTATGGAGTATGAGATATTGCAAAATAACATGGAAAGATGGGGATACAGATAAAAATAGATTGGCCATGAATTTGTAATCAGTGAGTCTAGGTGTTTACTATACTGGTTTTGTAGATGTTTGCAATTTTCTGTGATACATCCTTTTTCAGTAGGAATTCAGAATAAAGAAAGTGCTAAATATTTGAGTAAATCAGTTGACTATGAAAATAATAATGCCTTATGGTCTTAAATACATATGGCATTAAAATATACCACAACAATAAAATATAAGTTGATAAGGAGGCAGATGGAAGTTAGTTTCCTTTACTTTCTGGCAGGATGATAACAATATTCATTAACTTTGGATTTTTATGAGTTAAATATTATTATTATTATTTTTAGACAGAGCCTAGCACCCAGGCTGGAGTGCAGTGATGCGATCTTGGCTTACTGCAACCTCCGCCTCCCGGGTTCAAGCAATTCTCCTGCCTCAGCCTCCGGAGTAGCTATAGGTGTGCGCCACCACATCGGGCTAATGTTTGTATTTTTAGTAGGGACAGGGTTTCGCCTGTTGGCCAGGCTGGTCTCAAACTCCTGACCTCAGGTGATCCCGCTCGCCTTGGCCTCCCAAAGTGCTGGCATTACAGATGTGAGCCATACACCCGGCCTAAATATTCATATTTAAATTTTTAAAATAACCTAAAACATGGAACAGAAAGCAGAAAGTTTGGCCTAGCACAGTGGCTCACACCTGTAATTCCAGCTATTCGGGACAGTTAGGCAGGAGAATTGCTTGAACCCAGGAGGCAGAGGTTGCAGTGAGCCGAGATTGTGCCATTGTACTCTACCCTGGACCACAAGAGAGAAACTCTCTCAAAAAAAAAAAAAAGCAGAATTTTTTTTTGTAATTTATTTTTTTTTGGAAGATTCATCCTGTAGATTTTCTCAGGCTGCATTGCGCTGTATGCAGCTCTGTTATATGGTTTTACATATTTCTCTTACTCTGTACAGTAGTCTCCCTTTATCTAGAAACTCATTTTTCACAGTGTCAATTACCTGTAGTCAACTGAGGTCCAAAAATAGGTGAGTATAGTGCAATGCAGTTATTTTGGGGCAGAGAGGGAGAGAGAGCACATTCACGTAAGTTTTATTATAGTATATTGATAACATTGGCCTTTTTTTCTTTTTCTTTTCTTTTTTTTTTTTTTGAGTTAGAGTCTTACTCTGTCACCCAGGATGGAGGGCAGTGGCATGATCTTGACTTATGAGCTATTAGCTGCAACTACAGACATGCACCACCACGCTAAGCAGATTTTTGTATTTTTAGTAGGGACGGGATTTTGCCATGTTGGCTAGGCTGGTCTTGAACTCCTGACCTCAAGTGATCCACCTGCCTCGACCTCCCAAAGTGCTGGGATTACAGGCGCGAGTCACCAGCCCCGGCCTAGGCTGAATGATCTAGATTGCCACTATTAGGAATGGTTTTGGGGTTTTTGCCTTTTTTTTTGTTTCTTTAAACTTTTTTCTCTGAGGCTCCAGAACTAGGAAAGTCGAGGTATAAATAGGGTCTAATAATCTGTATTGGAAGAGTGATGTTGCTACTAGTATTCTAGTCCTTTGGAAAAATTCACCATTTTAATGAAAAGGAGAAAACTGTATGTAGTTCAGTCTTGATGAAAGAGATTTTACTTTTTAAAATTAACTTTATCCAAGGTATAATTTACATACTGTGAAATTCGTACATTTTATGTATACAATCGAATACTATTTGCAAATTTAATGTGTTATGCAACCATCTCTGTAAATCCATTTCGGAGCATTTCTACCATCCCAGTAAAGATCCTTCTAATCTGTATATAGTTAATCCCTCTTCCTACCACTAGTCCTAGAGAACCAATAGTTGACTGTCTCTGTAGATTTGCCTTTTCCCTGGACATTTAATATTAATGGAATCATGCAATATGTGATCTTTTGTGTCTTGTTCTTCTCATTTGGTATATTTTTCTGATTTAAAAAAAAAAACTTACCATCTGTAATTTGTCCCCTTTTTTGCTAAATAGTATTCCACCATAGATGTATGCCTAATTTTATTTATTCATTCATTCATTGATTAACATTTGGGCTGTTTCAACTTTTTGGCTGTTTTATCATTTTAGTTGGTAGTGTATACTCTGAGGTCTACGGCTATTGCTATACTCATCCAGTATTTGTCATTTATCTCTTTCTTCACAATACAGTGACATTTTGTAGTTGTATAGTAGGCATGACGTACTGGTTGTGTGGTAGGAATTAGGGCATATTTGCTGAGAACCTTAGGGGTAGTGTGATTTGGCTCTTGCTTTGTTTGATATTTGCTACATATCCTGTATTAAGGTTTGCATAATTACTCCTCTTTCCATTGACTTGTGCAGTTTTATGGATTTTGATATTTTCTTCCAGTATCCAAAAGGTCATATTCCTCCTTTGTTCCTGATATATTCTTTATCTTAGCTTGGCAAATCACTTACTTTTTTGCCTCACTTTGCTCCTCTGTAGTAAGAGTAGGTGAATTCTCCATGCTTTTCTAACTGAAAAGTGCTGTAACTGGGAGAGAACATAGGTAGGGAGTTGGGGTAGTTGAGGCAAGGAAGAAAGAGGGGAAGCCTAGCAACAGCCAGGAAGCATCTTTTTATGTATTTTTTTATTTTTTTGAGGTGGAGTCTTGCTCTGTCACCCAGGCTGGAGTGCAGTGGCACGATCTAGGCTCACTGCAACCTCCGCCTCCCAGGTTCAAGTGATTCTCCTGTCTCACCCTCCTGAGTAGCTGCAACTACAGGTATGCACCACCACACCTGGCTAGTTTTTGTATTTTTAGTAGAGACGGAGCTTCACCATGTTGGCCAGGCTGGTCTCAAACTCCCGACTTCAAGTGATCTGCTGGCTTCAGCCTCCCAAAGTGCTGAGATTATAGGCATGAGCCACTGCATCCCACCCAGGAAACATCTTTTTAAAAATCATTCAGTTGTCACCATGCTGTTTCACTTACAATATGTTACTCTATTTGTGTTTTATTTTTATTTTTTATTTTTTAGACGAAGTCTCACTCGGTCGCCCTGGCTGGAGTGCAGTGGTGCTGTCTTGGCTCACTGCAACCTCTGCCTCCTGGGTTCAAGTGATTCTCGTGCTTCAGCCTCAGTATGTTACTTTATTTTTTATTTAGGGAAAGAGTTGGTAGACGTTTCTACCAAAGTAGAAAAGTGCCAGATAGTAAATATTTTAGGTTTTATGAGCCATAAGTTCTCTGTCACCTAATAGATGTATCCAGTACAGAATTTCTCACTTTAATTTCCAGTCTTTTGTGCTATCTGCTGGTTTCATTGTGAGCTGCAAGGAAATAGAGAGCTGGAGTATTGAAGCCTAGTCTGAGAAGTTACTCTATGAGAGAAGCAAACCCCAAAGGTAGAGTGGAAACAGCAATTATAAGAGGAAACGTGGCCAGGCGTGGTGGCTCAAGCCTATAATCCCAGCACTTTGGAAGGCTGAGGTGAGCAGATCACCTGAGGACAGGAGTTTGAGACCAGCTGGGCCAACATGATGAAACACTGTCTCTACTAAAAATCCGAAAAATGAGCCAGATGTGGTGGCTTGTGCCTGTAGTCCCAGCTACTCGGGAGACTGAGGCACAAGAATCACTTGAACCCATGAGGTGAAGGTTGCTGTGAGCCGAGATCACACCACTGCACTTCAGCCTGGGCGACAAAGCGAGACTCCGACTCAAAAAAAAAAAAGAGGAAATGCAACAAGACTTAGCCTATGGAACCTGCCAAGAAGAAGACAAAGGAAGGAGACTGTCTAGGATTGAGATCCAATTTGTGTGAGGGGGTTAGTGATGGATGGGGATAAAGGGGCATGATGTGATAGCATAGGGATCTGTTTTAATGAAAAATGTTCATGGGGAGTTTTGAGAGACTTTGGGATGGAATTATGACCTTGCCACCTCAATAATTAACTAATAAGATGGGTTTGTGTAAGTCACCACCCTGCCCCCACTTTGAGACAGGGTTTTGTTCTGTTGTCCAGGCTGGAGTGCAGTTGCACAATCCTAGCTCATTGCAGCCTCAAACTCCTGGGCTCAAGTGATCCTCCCGCCTTAGCCTCCCAAATAGCTGGGACTACAGGCGCGTGCCACCACACCTGGCTAATTTTTAACTTTTTGTAGGGACGAGGTCTCGCCATGTTCCCCAGGCTTGTGTTGAACTCCTGGGCTCAAGTAATCCTCTTGCTTGTGCCTCCAAAAGTACTTGGATTACAGGCGTGGGCCACTTTGCCTAGCTGTTTTCACCATTACTTTGAAGAAAAATGTATACTTTAATATTTTGATCATAAAACATGACAAGGTTATTATTATTTTTTGAGATGGAGGCTAAAGTTCAGTGGCACGATCTCGACTCACTACAACCTCCACCTTCCAGGTTCAAGCAATTTTCCTTCCTCACCCTCCTGAGTAGCTGGGACTACAGGCATACGCCACTACACAATTTTTTATTTTTAGTAGAGACGGGGTTTTTCCATGTTCACAGGCTAGTCTCGAACTCCTGGCCTCAGGTGATCCGCCCACCTTGGCCTCCCAAAGTGCTGGGATTACAAGCATGAGTCACTGCGCCCAAACCGTGACAAGATTTTTTTAAAGGACGTACCCAAAATTCCATTTTTAATCTTTCAATTTTTTCTTTTCTTTTGATCCATAAAGCAATTGCATATATATTAAATCTTATTCTCCTGCCTTTTGCATACATGACATACACTTTTATGTTATTGGGATAATGACATATAATCAGTTATATATATTATTATTATTTTATTTTTACAGATAGGGTTTTGCTGTGTCATTCAGGCTTGAGTGTGGTGGCACTGTCTTGGCTCACTGCAGCCCCTATCTCCTGGGCTGAAGCCATCCTCCTGCTTCAGTCTCACATGTAGCTGGGACCGCAGGTGTGTGCCACCACAGGCAGCTATATTTTTATGTTTAGTAGAGGCATGGTCTCACTTTGTTGCCCAGCCTGTTCTTGAACTCCTGGGCTCAAACCATCTGCTCACCTTGGCCTCCCATGCCTTTTATGTTTTTTGATAATTCTGTTTAGATGTATAGTTCTCTGTTTTTTAGCATGAGACAGTAATACAACCATATGATACTAAATCGATGAAGTGTTTGTAAAGTGGTTTTGAAATTCATGTGGTAGTGCCGATTATATAATATTCTGTTGAAATGTCATTCCTGATATTCTACAAAATCCATAGAGATGTTGTTTAAAATGCAGGTTGAGCATTCCTAATCAGAAATCCAAAATGCTCCAAAATCGAAATCTTTTTGAATATTGACATAATACCACAAGTGGAAAATTCCACAGTTGACATCATGCAATGTGTCAGTCAGAACACAGGAACACAGCAGAGTTTATTCAACGTCCCCCAGGGAAAAACTATCCTTCCATCACCCTTCAGCTTAGATGTATCTTTTGCATGCACAGCCGGATTTTCCCATGCAATTATACCCATAAAAGGTGATAAAATGGCACACGTGCAGGCTGGATGCACCAACAGAAAGTTTTCCAAAATAACCCACATGGGGCAAAAGCCTCCTTGCATTATTCATTGTGTTTTTAAATTAAAAAGAATTTTTTCCTGCTTTGTGGTATAAAGATTTTGTTGAACTTCTCAGAAAGCCTGAAGATATCCCCATAGATTAGAGTAATAAGAAAGGAGGAAGAATTTAGGTATAGTGCAGAAAGTAAGTCAGGCTCTTGGAGAAACTAGACAGTGGTGTAAGTGTGAAACATCTTTCAGAAGAGTATGGTATTAGACTGACCACCATGTATGATGAGACAGGCCCTACAGGAATTCAGGATGACTAGGACAGAGTAACTGTGCTGGGATGTGCTAATTAAGCAGGCATGTGTAAGTGTAAACTTGCTATGATAGGCAAAAGCTTGTGTTCTCACTGTTAGTGATTTCAAGGCATGAATTTCTTTTCTTTTCTTTTTTTGGAGATAGTCTCGCCCTGTTGTCCAGGCTTGAGTGCAGTGGCACAATTATGGCTCACAGTAGCCTTGATCTTCCAGACTCAAGCATTCTTCCCTGGTAGCTGGGACTACAGCTGTGTGCTACTATGCTTGGCTATTTTTTTTTATTTTTATTTTTAGTAGAGATGGGGTCTCACTATGTTAACTGGGCTGGTATTGAATTCCTGGGCTCAAGTGATCTTCCTGCATTGGCTTCCCTAAGTGCTAGGATTACAGGCGTGAGCTGCTGCACCCAGCCCCAAGGCATAAATTTTTTTTTTTAAAGTTTGGCTCTGTCACCCAGCCTGGAGTGCAGTGGCTAGATCTTGGCTCACTGCAACCTCTGCCTCCTGGGTTTAAGTGATTCTCATGCTTCGGCATCTGGTGTAGCTCGCATTATAGACATGAGCCACCATGCCTGGCTAGTATTTTTTTTTTTTTTTTTTTTAAGTAGAGACAGGCTTTCACCATATTGGCCAGGCTGGTCTCGAACTCCTGAGCCACCGCACCTGCCCCAAAGGCATGAATTTCTTACCAGTTCGTTATTATGCTAACAGAAAGGCATGGATATCTAGGGACATCTTTTCTGATTGGTTTCACAAACATTTTATAGCAGTAGTTGGTGCTTATTTCAGGGAAGCTGGACAGGATGATGACTGTTCCTCCTTGAAAACTCTTCGGCTCATCCTGCAGCTGCAATTTTATCAAAAATAATGTTTATGCCATGTGCTTTCCCTGAAGTGTGACTTCACTGCCATATGACCAGGGAATCCCTAGATTGATGAAGAGTAAATATAAAAATGCTTTCTTGAATATGCTGGCAGCTGTGAATAGATGTATGGGTGTGAAAGGGTTTCAAAAGGAGTGAAGGATGCCATATATGCTGTTGTCAGTGTCTGGAACACAGTGACTAAAGGTACAGCTGTGCATGCCTGGCACCACTTGTGACCTTCAGCTGTGTTCACTGATGATAATGAACAAGGTGGTGATTTTGATGGCTTCTTCAGTAAAGTGAGAAAAATGTGTAACATCCTTACATATGCAAAAAGTATACCTTCCATTTGTCAGTAAGCTGGAAGAAGTGGATAACAAGAAAGCTTTTAATATCGACAAAGAGGCTCCCGTTTCTTTGTTCAACATGGTGATAGAGCTGACATCGATCTGAATCAGAGTGATTGTGATAATGAAGATGACATTAACACTGCAGAAAAAGTACCTATAGATGACATGGTTAATGTATGTGATGGGCTTATTGAAGGACCAGAGCAGTGTTCATTCATAACAGAAAAAGAAATCATGTCAGTTTATAAAATGAGAGCCTTGGGCTGGGCGCAGTGTCTCGAGAGCCTGTAATCCCAGCACTTTGGGAGGCCAAGGCGGGCAGATCACTTGAGGTCAGGAGTTCGAGAACAGCCTGGCCAACCCGGTGAAATGCTGTCTGTACTAAAAATACAAAATTAGCTGGGTGTGGTGGCAGGCGCCTGTAATCCCAGCTACTCAGGAGGCTGAGGCAGTAGAATCGCTTGATCCTGGAAGGTGAAGGTTGCAGTGAGCTGAGATCATGCTGCTGCACGCCAGCCTGGGTGACAGAGTGAGCCCCCGTCTCAAAAAATAAAGAAATGAATAAAATGAGATCCTTCTAGACAATACTCGTTGTTAATGAGACAGATGACTTTAGAGGAAACATTTTAAAAAGCTATCCCACAGAATGCCTCTTCATTCCTAGAGGACTTCCTGGTTCCTAATTGCTTCTGATGATGTTTCTTCTTACCTTATAAAATAAAACAGTATACAGTAACCTTTTAATCAAAACACAGCATCATAGATGGAGACACAAAGCCCGACATTGTTATTACTGTTTTTTTATCAGCTGATACATGTATTCTCGTGATACTACTGTGCTGCTTAGCTACCCTGAACACACATTACTTTTTCACTGTATTAATGGTATGTCATATTTTTACTGTTAAGTACTTATGTGTGAATAAGTATAAGAAAATGTTTGCCTGTCAGTAGCACATAAATTCAGAGACAGGAATGATGGTAATGCCAAACAACCACAGATATTCCACATGGTGGCTGAGATAATGACACTTTTGCTTTCTTATGGTTCACTGTACACAAACTTTGTATAATGTAGAAAATAAATATTTTGTAAAATTACCTTCAGGCTATGTGTATAGAAGATGTGTGTAATACATAAATGAGTTTGGTATTTCAATTTGGGTCCCATCCCCAAGATAACTTATTATATATATATGCAAATATTACAAAATATGAAAAATTCTAAATCACTTCTGATCCCAAGCGTTTCAGATAAGGCATACTTAGCCTGTAACTCAAGATGTATTTTACCTATTTACCTGATCTAGATGCTACATTTTTGTTAGGTATATATTAGCTTTATATGTACAGGTGTCAGTGACTATAAGACCTGGCTTTAAATTTAACCTTTTCCTTAATTTTGGATGGGCCACATATATTCTATTATTTGTGTATATAAGGTAACACAAGTCCTTTTGTCTCCCCCCAGCTCCTTTTGCATATGAGAAAACATAAGCCATTTTGTGCCTCTTGCATCTTAAGCCATAGTCTATTTTACTATGTGGTTTCCCATCTGGTTACTTTTGGGAGTATCAGATGGTCTCATAAAAACAGTGGGTTTTCCTGAAGCTTTTTGATTAATGTTGAATTTGTTTATCATCTT
Source organism: Homo sapiens (assembly GCF_000001405.40). Lineage (NCBI taxonomy): Eukaryota > Metazoa > Chordata > Mammalia > Primates > Hominidae > Homo > Homo sapiens. Next base: position 177,235,817 of record NC_000005.10, read on the forward strand.
TTAGCTGTGCGGTCAGAGAAGAAACGCCTTAGGAAGCCAAGCAAGTGGCTTTTGGAATATACAGAAGAATATGATCAGATATTTGCTCCTAAGAAAAAACAAAAGAAGGTACAGGAGCAGGTGCACAAGGTATGTTGCAAAATTTCAGCAAACTTTCACTGGTCCTTAGGAAACTGCAATTTTATCTTCAATGTCATACTTTATCTTCATGAAACAATAATTTCCTTAACTGAGATCTTGTTTTTTATTCTCAGCTTCTAGCACAGTACTTAGGATTTAGTGGTTATTCAGGAAATATATAAATGAATCTACATATTGTATTTATTTATGTATATATTTTTCCCTCTTTGCCTTCAAAGAGTAATGACTTAGGAATATTGTTATGATTTAATCTTAAGTAAAAATATAGGCTATAAAGTGAAATATATATAGTCTGACCCTAATTTCAAAAGTAAATATATCTTATTTGTCTTATTTTTCAACTCAGTTTTTTAAAATGAAATAGAGACATCTTGACATTCTACCCCTACATAGTTTAATATGTAGTTAAAAAATGGAACATTTTCCTTTATAATCAATTTAACATATTTACATCTTATATAAGATCTGTTTATCTGACATCAACTGTCTTTCAAATTTCATCAATTATCCCCTAACCTTTACCTTTGGATTATTCATACCAGGACTCAATCTAGGACTGCTCATTGTAACTGGTTGTTATGGTTCTCAAATCACTTTGAATTCAGAACAATCCCTTTTTTCATGATCATGATCATGTCTATAAGAGAGTGACATATAAAGTCATCTACTTTCTGTATTTGTGTAATTGCTTCCTCATAGGTGTCACTTAGATTGTTTTCTCTATCTCCTGTTCTCTGTCAAATGGAAGATAGAACCTATCAGTTTGATAGATTGAAAGTTGAACATTTTTAGCTAGACTATATCAGAGATGATAATGTGGAATATATTGTACATTAGAGGGTTAAAAAATGTTTTATTCCCATCAGCCATTCCCTGACAGTTTGTTCTTTCTTTTTTAAAATTGAGACAGTGTCTTGCCCAAGCTGGAGTGCAGAGATGCACGAACACGGTTCACTGCAGCCTTGACCTCCTGGGTTTAAGCAATGTTTCCGTCTCAGCCTCCTGAGTAGTTGGGACCAAAGGTGCACACTACCACACCTGGCTAATTTTTGACAACATTTTTTTTGTAGAGGCGGTGTCCCACTATGTTGCCCTGGCTGGTCTCGAATTCCTGGGCTCCAGTGATCTTTCTGCCTCAGCCTCCCAGAGTGTTGGGATTACAGGTGTGGGCCACCATGCCCAGCTTCCCTGATGGTTTTTTGAAAACCCCAGTTGAAGATCTTTACCTATATCAATAATTTTATTAGAGGTTACAAAATGAAGACTTTCAGATTTTATTATTTTCTCTATTTTTATTAACTGATAGTCTCTTTCATTAATTGGACTCTGTTATTGTCCTGAAATACTTGAAAGGCAGAATAAGTGCTTCTTTCTTTCCCATTAATTACCAATTGTAACATTAAGGAGTTCATTAGTAGTTGTTTTAATTGGAGACATTAGAGCAGTCTCTTTCCCCTGCTTTTGAATTATTGTTGTGGACTTATCAATATTATAGCTTCAGTGTATCTCAGTCAACTTCATTTAATTTTGGTTAAAAAAATATATATATATAATGTAAATTTTATTATTTTATCTTTTTTTTTTTTTTTTTTTGAGATGGAGTCTCACTCTGTTGCCCAGGCTGGAGTGCAGTGGTGTGATCTCAGCTCACTGCAAGCTCTGCCTCTCCTGTTCACACCATTCTCCTGCCTCAGCCTCCCGAGTAGCTGGGACTACAGGTGCCCGCCACCACACCTGGCTAATTTTTTGCATTTTTAGGTAGAGACAGGGTTTCACCATGGTAGCCAGGATGGTCTTGATCTCCTGACCTCGTGATCTGCCTGCCTTGGCCTCCCAAAGTTCTGGAATTACAGGCGTGAGCCACCACGCCCAGCCTATTTTATCCATTTTTAAGTGTACAGTTCAGTAGCATGAAGCACAGTTAGATTGTTGTGCAACCATCTCCACCATCCATCTCGATAATTTTTTTCATCTTTCCAAATTAAAAATCAATACCCATTAACCAATAACTCCCTTTTCTGCTCAGCCCCTGGCAATTGCCATTCTATTTTCTGTCTCAAGAATTTTCTTATTCTAGATACCTCATATACTTGAAATCATACGATATTTGTTCTTTGTGTCTTAAGTAATTTCCCTTAGCATACATAATGTCTTCAAGGTTCATCCACTTTTTGTAGCCTTTGTCAGAATTTCATTCCTTTTAAAGTGTGTTATTCTTTTTGACACTTAAATTACAACAATTTTGGCCTGTGGACTCTATTTTTATTTTTTGTTCTTAGGTAAGTTCCCGCTGTGAAGAGGAAAGCCTTCTAGCCCGAGGTCGATCTAGTGCTCAGAACAAGCAGGTGGACGAGAATTCTTTGATTTCAACCAAAGAAGAGCCTCCAGTTCTTGAAAGGGAGGCTCCGTTTTTGGAGGGCCCCTTGGCTCAGTCAGAACTTGGAGGTGGACATGCTGAGTTGCCGCAGCTGACCTTGTCTGTGCCTGTGGCTCCGGAAGTCTCTCCACGGCCTGCCCTTGAGTCTGAGGAATTGCTAGTTAAAACGCCAGGTAAGGTGGGGTTGGGGTCTCAGTATTTGAGCAGATATGATTAGAGGAAGCAGGAGATTTTAGTATGTTTTGATGTAAAGCCAACATTGTATCTATATACAATAAACTACCCCCTTTTGTCCTGGGAAATACTTAAAATGATGGTTAATTAGATATAGTTACTAACCATGAACTGTGGCACACTATCAAGAAGATGTATTTTTAATAACTATGCTCCTTGCTCCAGTGTTGCTCTTCATGATTGTTGATCAGCCACTGTGTAAATTAACAACCAGGATAACAGGGCTTCAAGAGGAGTACTGCACATTAGTGGAATAAGCACTATGCTTCAAGTGCTGGCTCCACCAATCCTTGTGTTACTTGGGAAGTTGTTTAATCTCTGAACTTGTTTCCTCATCTATAAATGGAGATCATAATGTATTAATGTGTAATGTTATATACCTGACAACATAGTAATTACCAGTTCATTAGAAGTTAATTACCAGTTACTTCTCACTTGATCATTCTTTATATATCACCTGGGGAGAGTTGGATCTAAACATATTGTCTCTAATTCACCTTGTAACTATTGAATATTATAGTCAGTCAAGGAATGGCAAGAATCCTCTTTTCTGTACCCCTTTAAATTTTGGATATAACTTTTTTACATTATCAACAGTAGCTTTTGATGTTATTCCTTAAAGAAACGATTCCAATTGTGCTTAAACTAGTTGGGTATAATAAAAAAGATTTTTGAAAGAACAGTAAAGATAGTTATTATTTCAGTACCTACTATGTGCCAAAACTCTATTAAGTCAGCTCTTTTATATTATTCTTGAGTGATCCTATGAATTATCTTTTACCTATTGAATTTTATTTACTTAGGGGCAGAGCAGAAACTATAATCTTTGTCCATTTATGACCATGATCCAAGTTCTATTTCACTCCACTTCTCCTTATTTTATCCTCACCAACAATCAGTTGTTATAAAGGCAGTTCCGTCCTTCTGACTTCTCCCTTAGTGATTTTGTGAGTTAAAGTCACCACACACACATCCCTCACATTAGTTGGTGCTTGCATTGAAAACTGTTTACTTGTTTTGTTTACTAATATTTTATAATAAGCAAATTACCATCCTGCCTCTTCCCATAAGATGACGGGGAAAACATCAAAAACATTGAGATTCATTTTGTGTGGTATACAGATTTTTTAAAAATTAACTTGTGCCCAGTTTCTAAATCATCTAATGTAAAGATACATGCATTTCAGGAAATTATGAAAGTAAACGTCAAAGAAAACCAACTAAGAAACTTCTTGAATCCAATGATTTAGACCCTGGATTTATGCCCAAGAAGGGGGACCTTGGCCTTTCTAAAAAGGTATGTTATTTTTGTAAGTTCTAAAAGAAATAAACTCAGGAAATGAGAAATTTTAAAAATGACATTTTGAGTAGCAGTTATAACATTGATGTACATACATATAGAAATTAGTGTGTGTGTCAGCAGTCATACATGATCTGAGATTTCCTACATGAAAGGCTGTTTTGCAGTTGTGTGACCATGTATGTGTATAAACTGGTTTCAGGTTTCCTTTCCAAGTGAAAAAAATTTTTAAATGCTTTGAAGATTAAGTTTGTGTTTGTTATAATTTCTTTTCTGGGTTCAAATCCTCTTACCTGTTTTCTACTAAACTACTATCTCAAATATCACTAGTCTACTCTCCTATTGCCGTGTCGTCGTAGCCCTTTTGTTTTGTTTTTTTGAGACAGGGTCTGATTCTGTCACCCAGGCTGGAGTGCAGTGGCATAATTTTGGCTCACTGTAATCTCTGCCTCCCAGGCTCACCAGTTAATTTTTTGTCTTTTTTTGGTAGAGACTGGGTATCAATTTTTTTTTTATGTGATAAATACTTTTTGTGTTTTATTCAAGAAATCTAGTGTGATGGTGGCCGGGCGCAGTGGCTCATGCCTGTAATCCCAGCATTTTGGGAGGCTGAGGCGGGCGGATCACAAGGTCAGGATATCGAGACCATCCTGGCTAACATGGAGAAACCCCCTCTCTACTAAAAATACAAAAAATTAGCTGGGCGTGGTGGCAGGCGCCTGTAGTCCCAGCTACTCGGGAGGCTGAGGCAGGAGAATGGTGTGAACCCAGGAGGCGGAGCTTGCAGTGAGCCGAGATGGCGCCACTGCACTCCAGCCTGGGTGACAGGGCGAGACTCCGTCTCAAAAAAATAAAAAATCTATTGTGATGGCTCAAGCCTATAATCCCAGGACTTAGGGAACCCGAGGCAGTAGGATTGCTTAAGCTCAGGAGCTTGAGACCAGCCTGGGCAATAAAGGAGACCTTGTCTCTACAAAACAAAAAACTGTCCCAAAAAAACCCCAGAAAATGGTGTGGTGTTGCATGTCTGGTCCCAGCTACTCAGAAGGCTGAAGTGGTAGGATGTCTTGAGCCCCAGAGGTCGAGGCTGCAGTGAGCTATGATTGCGCTATTGCACTCCACCCTGGGTGACAGAGCAAGACCCTGTCTCAGTCAATCAATCAATAAATGAAATTTTTGTGTGCCCCATGGACACAAAGATGTTCTCCCTGTGTTTTAGGAGTTTTTTGGTTCTGGTTTCACATATAGATCTTTGTTCCATCTTGAATTTTTGAGATGGAGTTTTGTTCTCCCCCATATTGATGTCCAGTTGTTTCAGCACCATTTACCAAAAAATTGCTGATATTGGCTGGGTGCGGTGGCTCACACCTGTAATCCCAGCACTTTGGGAGGCCCAGGTGGGCAGATCACTTGCGGTCAGGAGTTGGAGACCAGCCTGGCCAACATGGTGAAACCCCGTCTCTACTAATAATACAAAAAAAAAAAAAATGGCTGGGCGTCGTGGTACCTGCGCATAATCCCAGCTACTCAGGAGGCTGAGACAGGAGAATTGCTGGAACCTGGGAGGCAGAGGTTGCAGTGAGTCGAGGTCATGCCATTGCACTCCAGCCTAGGCGACAGAGCGAGACTCTCTCTCTCTCAAAAAAAAAAAGAAAAAATACTCCCTGATATTTATCCTCACCCTCTCTTAGATTCCCAGTATCTTTTAAGTATTAATTATACTTAATAACTCTTCGTCACGGTTGAATTTTTACTTTTGGGGAGAGGGGGTTGCCGTTAAATTTGGGATCAGAGCAAGAGAAAATCAGAATTATTGGTTATGGCTAGCACCAAACTCTGGAGAAAAGTGTCCTCTTGTCTGTTTGGGAGTCTGTCCTGCCATCTGACCTGGCCTACTTCATTGTTGAAGTCCTGGTTACTCTGAGGTATATTTTGTCATAAGGCTAAAGCCATGATTCAGTTCCATTTTAGTTTACCAGGCACACCACCACCCTGTCTGCAGGTGGATTAATCAGTATGTCAAACAGAATGAGAGATTGATCTGTTCTGGTAGTGCTTTAAGGGTACTCTGGCTTAATGTATATCCACACTAGACTATATATACAAAGTAAGTTACTGGCATCTTAGTCACATCCTCTAAGAAGTTCTTTGGTCTTTTTCATTCTAAACAGAATAGTTTGATTTTTATTCATATGGTATGATTGTTGTGTGTGTGCATGTGTGTGTGTGTGTGCTGTTAATTTTTATTTTAAGTTATAAAATTGATCATAATAGAAATGAGACTATTTCCTGCATTATTCTCTGACTGTAGTTTGGGGAGCATTGTAATTATTTTGTTCCACAGCTTTTGGGTAACTGTTAAACAATGAACTAATTTGTTATCTAAATAAAATGATTGCTATTTTAAAAAAAATTACAGAAATGTATTTTGTGGATTTGTCTAGGAGTCTCGTTTTGTTGAATTGGATACCTGACATTTGCCCATTCATTTTACTTGAAATAGACTTCTGATATATAGTGAACGTGAGGAGAATTGCAGTCTTATGATTTATTAATATGATAAAATGAGCATTCAGAAATTCACAGCTGTATTTTATCTTGTTTTACTTCCAAACATTAGGAACTCTACAACAAAAATGGCCTTTATTATTTATTTATTTATTTATTTATTTATTTGAGACAGAGTTTTGCTTTTGTTGTCTAGGCTGGAATGCAATGGCACAATCTCGGCTCACCACAACCTCCACCTTCCAGGTTCATGCGATTCTCCTACCCCAGCCTCCGAAGTAGCTGGGATTACAGGGATGTGCCACCATGCCTGGCTAATTTTTTGTATTTTTAGTAGAGGCAGGGTTTCTCAATGGTAGTCGGGCTGGTCTCGAACTCCCGACCTCAGGTGATCCGCCTGCCTCGGCCCCCCAAAATGCTGGGAATACAGGTGTGAACCACCGTGCCCAGCCAGAATGGCCTTTACTATGCTAACTTTTTGTGACCACTAAATGTTGTTTTACAGTTATGATGAAGAATATCATCATTCTTGTAGGAAAAGACATTTGCTTGGGGTGGAACTAATTCATAGAAGTATATTAGTAGTGGGTGAGGTGAATAAAATGTGTGGCTCTTGATTAGACTCCTGATGTTGAGTATTTGTTTTGAGTTTTAATGTTGCTTTAATTTGGATTAATCTGAAGTCATTTTAAGTTGGAATGTCATTCAGTATTTCAGAACTGTTTAATTTACAGTTCACCAGGTAAACAGGTCTCTGTCAAATCTAATAGCTGTGAATACAATTGTAGGAAGATGGGTTATTTTTCTTTCTTTCTTTCTTTCTTTTTTTGAGACTTGCTCTGTCTCCCAGGCTGTTGTAGTGCAGTGGCGCGATCTTGGCTCAGTGCAACCTCCGCCTCCTGGGTTCAAACAGTTCTCCTGCTTCAGCCTCCCGAGTAGCTGGGATTACAGGCATGTGCCACTGCACCTAGCTAATTTTTGTATAATTTTTAGTAGAAACGGGGTTTCACCATATTGGCCATGGTTGGCCAGGCTGGATTCAAATTCCTGACCTCAGGTGATCTGCCCCCCTCGGCCTCCCAAAGTGCTGAGATTACAGGCATGGGCCACTGCACCCAGCCATGAAGATGGATTTTAAGTACAGGGTGGAGTGCAATAAAATTGAGCCTGTGGATCTCTGGGTACATACCCCTTCTCTTTCTCCATCCATTTCAGTCACAGAAAGCATTGTGTATCTAGTCTATATGTTGGAAATCTCTGGCAAGTCTTTATTTTTTCTTAAGGAGTAGGTGGTGTTCACAGGTCTGTTGGAGCATTGTTTTTGTTTTGTTTTAAGATGGAGTCTCGCTTTTGTTGCCTAGACTGGAGTGCAGTGGTGCGATCTTGGCTCACTGCAACCTCTGCCTCTCCAAGTTCAAGCAATTCTCCTGCCTCAGCCTCCTGAGTAGCTGGGATTACAGGCATGTGCCACCACACCTGACTAATTTTGTATTTTTAGTAGTGATGGGGTTTCTCCATGTTGGTCAGGCTGGTCTTTAACTCTCAACCTCAGGTGATCCACCCGCCTCAGCCTCCTAACGTGCTAGGATTACAGGTGTGAGCCATCATGCCCTGTCTGTTGGAGCATTTTAAAATCTGATTCCTTTCCCCCTGAAGTTTCCGTTCAACCCTTTACTGTGGTCAGGTTGATTTCTTTAATTGCTAAAACAAGTCAAAATTCAATATCCATGGCAGCTGACAATTCAGACTTTGGCATATAAAGTAAAGGGTTTATTTTTTCATTCCTCTGTAAATGGTGTTGTTTTCACTTATTTATAGTGCTATGAAGCTGGTCACCTGGAGAATGGCATAACTGAATCTTGTGCCACATCTTATTCAAAAGATTTTGGTGGAGGTGAGTATTTTTGAGATTTAAAAAACGTAATGCAGTAGTAAGTTTGAAGTGCTTTGTCTGTTAACCACAAAAATTGTTACATGTGTAAGCCCGACCAGTGAGGTACAAGTTTTAAAACTGGTTTGCCCAAAATCTGCTTCCTGAAAAAGAAAAAATATTGATAAATTGAATATCTACTCTACCAGGACTTTTAGTAGGAATGCTACCTGTAATCTCTCTAAAGCGTTACAGAGAGTTAGGTTATTATCTATAGTATTCCTGTTTTATAGAAGAAATGTGAAGATGAACAAGGTAGCAAGGTCAGGGAACTAAATCCACACCTGACCAATTTCATGGTCATACTCCTGTCTTCTTATCCACCCCAGGTTTTCTCCATGCCACTTCTTTCTTCCACTCTTCATTTGTCTGCCAATGCCATTTATTGATTAGTGTCATTTTTGAAATATTATTCCAGATTTGAGCACACTGCAACAGATGTGGTCTGCTAGCAAAGAGTATCATGGGAAGATTATATTTCATGTGGCCTACGATTATTAAATTTTCTAACAAGTAAATCTAGCAACATGTTAGCTTATTTTAGCTATGTGACAATTGTAATCCCATAGGTTGGTCAATTTGCTTGTAAGATTTAAAAATAAGCTGCTTTCAAAATAATATCAGGCCGTTCATGGTGGCCCACAACTGCAATTTCAGTGCTTTGGAGGCCAAGATAAGAGGATGACTTGAGGCCAGGTGTTCCATCCAGACCAGGCTCGGCACTTAGTGAGACCCTGTCTCTATCTACAGTTTAAAAAAATGAGCTAGGCATGGTGGTGTATTTCTGTAGTCACAGCTACTTGTTAAGCTGACATGTAGCTTAACATGTTCAAGGAACGATCCCTTGAACCCGAGAGGTTGAGGCTACAGAGAGCTGTTGCTCACACCAGGCACTGTAGCCTGGGCAACAATGCGAGACCATGTCTCTTAAAATAATAGTAGTAATAATAATAACAACAGCTCTTTTCCTGTATTTTTATATTTCGTTTTTAAAATAAAACCTACAACATGAACTTTATCCATTATAAATTTTGTGTTAAGTGTTCCAGCTCATGAGAATTTCAAATCTTTCTATTGTGCTCATATTAACTCTTCTTTTAGTGTTAGGCTGCGAGCAGTTTTGATGGCAGAGCTTCTCCAACTCAATCAGGCAGTCAAAAAAGAGCTCACTGAGGCAGTCTTCAAAACTCCAGCTTTCATACTGTTAACTAGCACAGATATCCTAAATGTTTTATGAAATACCTCTTAGATTCCTCTTTATGTTTCTATAACACAGTTGAAATGTGTTTAACAGAAAGTGCAGGAGGGACTAGAAGAATTTCTTTCTTTTTTTTTTTTTTTTGGTTTGAGATGGAGTCTGGCTCTGTTGCCCAGGCTGGAGTACAGTGGCACAATCTCGGTTCACTGCAGCCTCCACCTCCCAGGTTCAAGCGATTCTCCTGCCTCAGCCTCCTGAGTAGCTGGGACTACAGATGTACTCCCTCACGCCTGGCTAATTTGTTTTGTATTTTTAGTAGAGATAGGGTTTCACCATGTTGGCCAGGATGGTCTTGATCTCCTGACCTCGTGATCTGTCCACCTTGGCCTCCCAAAGTGCTGGGATTACAGGCATGAGCCACCCTGCCCAGCCTCAACCCTCCATCTTAATCCTTTTATTTTTTTTATTTATTTTTTTTTTTTTGAGATGGAGTTTCGCTCTTGTTACCCAGGCTGGAGTGCGGTGGCATGATCTCGGCTCACTGCAACCTCTACCTCCTGGTTTCAAGTGATTCTCCTGCCTCAACCTCCTGAGTAGCTGGGATTACAGGCATGCACCACCATGCCTGGCTAATTTTGTATTTTTAGTAGAGACAGGATTTCACTATGTTGGTCAGGCTGGTATCAAATTCCTGACCTCATGTGATCTGCCGGCCTCAGCCTCTCAAAGTGCTGGGATTACAGGCTTGAGCCACGGTGCCCAGTCCTTAATCTTTAAATCATATAGTGATTTGTATTATTGTCTCCAGTCTTGAAGTCTAGGGAGTGGTATCTTTTGATGACTAGTAAAATGCATTTCCCCTTCATCTATAGGATTTAATTCCTTTGAAGAACTACAAGATTTGTCATTTCAATCATATAAATTAAAATTTCTGTAATAACCTATACACTTACTATTTAATCTATATGAGGGAGCAGTTACATATATGTAGCCATTTCCCTTCTTGTTATGTCATCATGAGTTAGTCTCAATTATTATTTCCCCCGTTTTCCTAATCCACAAAGCTGGAGAATTAAATGAGTTTTAAGGTTGGTTTTTATTCTAATAATAGGATAAGAGATTTTGGACATGTGTGTTAGTAGCCAGCAGTTAACACCTATTTTCCTGTCATAGGCACTACCAAGATATTTGACAAGCCAAGGAAGCGAAAACGACAGAGGCATGCTGCAGCCAAGATGCAGTGTAAAAAAGTGAAAAATGATGACTCGTCAAAAGAGATTCCAGGCTCAGAGGTATTACTCAGTTCCTGATCTTTTCACCTTCTAAAGAGAAGCTACTTTTCACGCCAGAGGCCACATCCCTCTTTCCCTTGAGTTTTCTTAAGAATACTATTCTACTGAAATGGCTGATGGCCATAAGGAATCTTGGAGGAAAAGTAGAGCCTTATCCTAATAATAAGGCAAGGCATGTATTGCAGCTGTCAATATGGTCTTTTTAAAAGATCATCACATCCTATGCTGTAGGTGTCCAATCAGGTATATAAGTGTTTCATCGTTAAGTAAACTTGTAAAACCGGAGAGTACAATATCAAGTCAACATATGATCTGAAGGAACATAGATACTGTCCTATAAAAGTTGAGACTGGCCAGGTGCTGTGGCTCACGCCTGTAATCCCAACACTTTGGGAGGCCGAGGCGGGAAGATAACTTGAGGTTGAGAGTTCGAGACCAGCCTCGCCAACATGGTGAAACCTCATCTCTACTAACAATACAGAAATTACCTGAGTGTGGTGGCATGCGCCTATAATTCCAGCTAATCGGGCAGAGGCACAAGAATCACTTGAACCCTTGAGGCAGAGGTTGTAGTGAGCCGAAATCATGCCACTGCCCTCCAGCCTGGGTGACAGAATGAGACTCTGTTGCAAAAGAAAAAAATTGAGACTGCTGGCTGGGCGTTGTGGCTCATGCCACTCAGCTCTTTGGGAGGCTGAGGTGGGAGGATCATATGAGAACAGGATTTCGAGACCAACCTGTGAAATACAGTGAGACCTTGTCTCTACTTAAAAAAAAAAAAAAAAAAATCGAGACTGCTGTGGTTAGCGGGAAGATTTACTTGCTTATTTCTTGAGACCATCAGCTACTTAATCTTAGGACAATTTTTATGAATATCGGCCTTCAGGAAACAAAAGATTTAAAACCATTTACTTGCAAAGCATCAGTGCAATCATTGATATTATCTTCGGGTTTCCAACTCAGGTTAAAAGAGAGAAGTCAGGTCAGCATCACACATTATGATGCAGAATGTTTCTTTCCAGGACAATTTGAATAGAATGCCCAAGAGGGGCATTATTTAGGAAACACTGATCTTGGAAGGACAAATAAGTAATCAAATAAACTTAAGAATGTTTTCTCTCCCTTAGTGAAACCTTAAAATGGAACAGCTCAGAAAGTTCCAGTGGAACAAACAGCCTCAGAGCAGTTAGTGGCAGGGCATGAGGCGCCCACTACCCGCCCAATCACAGCAGGGTTAGAACTAACATTGCATGCAGTCCGCCCGAGTGATTGGCTGAACATCTGTAAGTGCTTAATGGCTAGACAAATAGCAGCCCAGAGGGAGGGGGTCAAATGGAAGAGACATCAATAATACAGATGTGGGACATTATTTTTTCTTTGCAAGGGAGAACTAATGCCTCACAGGACGGCCACAAGCCCCAAGGAGACTGTTGAGGAAGGTGTAGAACACGATCCCGGGATGCCTGCCTCTAAAAAAATGCAGGGTGAACGCGGTGGAGGAGCTGCACTCAAGGAGAATGTCTGTCAGGTAGAGAAATGTTTGCCCACTTGTGTTTTCATTGCATGTTCATCTTTAAAGGGAAACCCACTCCATCTCTTTATGATGGTTTCTTGGTAGAATAACAATGCTTTTGGATGATTCCAGTGGAGTCACTTTCTTTAAGGATTTGACCCCTTTTTTTCTCCCCACAAAGAAAGATACTTGGAGAAATAGTTTAGTGTTGGTGAACCACGTGCCCTTAAGGCCCATGAAGGAATATATGCCGCGAAACAAGTCTGAGATGGAATATGTGAATCTCTGGTTGCTTATTCAAATATAATTCTCCAGTACTTCTCATGGTGTCACAATCTTTGGGTTTGTAAGAAACTTTTCAAGGGTAATTTTAGCTTTGAGATGTTTTTCCTTTAATGTGGTGACTTTAGAAAGCCTACCACCTATATTGTTTTATTTATTTAATAAATATTTGTAGAGTATTTACTATGTATGAAGTATTGTTCCAAGCACTTTATAAATATTACATTATTTAGTCATCCTAATAATCTCATAAGTAGAGTTCTATGATTATTCCCATTTTGCAGATGAGGAAACTAAATTACAGAGAGGATAAATAGCTTGTTTATATTCATGAGAGAAGCCTGGATTTAAACTTCGGCAGTCTGGATTTAGAGTCTCCCTCTCCGTTTTTCTAACCTTTAAGCTCCGTTGGACTTGGTTGGTTTAGAGTCTTAACCATTTTGTTGGATTGCCTCTCTGTGAGATAGGGGATTCCACTTTATTGTTAGAGACTTGAAGTCTTTGTGAGTAGAGTCAATGACCATTTGAATATATATATTTTTAATGGTCTTGATTTACCTATGTAATTCTTAAAATTTAGTATATACAAACTTGAAGTTAGGCAATGCGCAGTGGCTCATACCTACAATCACAGTGCTTCTGGAAGCTGAGGCAGCAGGATTGCTTGAGGCCAGGAGTTCTAGACCAGTCTGGGCAGCACAGCGAGACCCCTGTCTCTATTTTTAAAAAATTTGTCTTTTTTTTAAATTAGCCAGCTGTAGTGGCTCATACCTGTAGCCCAACAGGTCAAGATTACAGACTTGTCTTTTAAATAAACAAAAAACTTGAGGATGTTAGTTTTTCTTTTTTCTTTTTTATTAATTAATTATTTATTTATTTATTTATTTATTTTTGAGACGAAGTCTCGCTCTGTCGGCCAGGCTGCAGTGCAGTGGCGCGATCTCTGCTCACTGCAAGCTCCGCCTCCTGGGTTCACGCCATTCTCCTGCCTCAGCCTCCCATTCTCCTGCCTCAGCCTCCTGAGTACCGGGACTATAGGCACCCGCCACCATGTCCAGCTAATTTTTTGTATTTTTTGGTAGAGATGGGGTTTCACCGTGTTGGCGAGGATGGTCTCGATCTCCTGACCTCGTGATCTGCCCGCCTCGGCCTCCCAAAGTGCTGGGATTACAGGCGTGAGCCACCACGCCCGGCCAGTTCTTCTTTTTTAAATTGAAACCATAGGCCAAGCACAGCACTAATCTCAGCACTTTGTGAGGCTGAGGTGGGTGGATCATTTGAGCCCAGGAATTTGAGACCAGCCAGGCAACATGGTAAAACCCTGTCTCTGCCAAAAATACAAAAATTAGCCAGGCATGACAGTTCGTGCCTGTAATTCCCCTGCTGGGGAGGCTGAGGTCATTGGATCACCTGAAGCTGGGGAGGTAGAGGCTTTAGTGAGCCATGGTCATGCCACTGCACTCCCACCTGGGTGACTGAGACCCTATCTCACAAATAATAAATAGTAATAGATAAATAAGTTGAGATCTCTAAAAAAGTAAACTCAGACCAGAAAATGTTATTGTGGCCAATATAATTTCAATCCAGTTTCTTTGCCTATTATCTTCACTATTACATTCTTGGACCAGATCCCAAACAACAGTCTTAATCCTCAAAAACAGTTATGCCCATTATTTACTTAGTGAGACAAGTCAGAGTGTAAATACATTTTACAAAGATCATTTAATGAAAAGGTTAAAGGTAAGGTGACCCTGTGGTCCTGGCTTGTCTGGATCAGTCTTTGTGTAGGTCCCTTGTGCTGTCACAATTTATTAATAGCACTTCTTTTCACTCTCAGGTGTCCCGGTTTGAAAGATAAATTACGTGGTTATCCCAGTTGAATAATTAGTCTATAACATTTAGTTAATGCAAAAACTTTATTTCTAATTCACGTTGTAATTAACGTTTTCCTATTTAAGTGCTGAAGGTCAGTTTTTTTTTTTTTTTACCATATATAGAAACGTTATTGGCACTCTGAATATGCAAAGTACAATATATAGTGCTATTTTTCAGTTTTTATATGTGAATAGTAGATAATGGGGAGTCAGACATTTGAGGATATCTCAGACTATAGGTTGATAAAGTCCCTGAGTTCCCCTATCAATTCCAGGCTACCTCTCTAACCTTTCTCCCTAAAGCTGTCCTGTTTTTTATTTAAGCTTTGATTCTTAAGTGATCAAGACCTATTCTGTTTCTATGAGTTCTTGAAGCTAAAACTTACTTAGTCACCTTTCCCCTTGTTTGCTTTTCATAGTAGTACAAGGCTTTAAAAATATTTGGGCTGGGTGCGGTGGCTCACACCTGTAATCCCAGCACTTTGGGAGGCCAAGGTGGGTGGATCATGAGGTGAGGAGTTTGAGACCAGCCTGGCCAACGTGGTGAAACCCCATCTCTACTAGAAATACAAAAATTAGCTGGGCATGGTGGCGCATGCCTGTAATCCCAGCTACTCGGGAGGCTGAGGCAGGAGAATCACTTGAACCCGGGTGGCAGAGGTGGCAGTGAGCCAAGATTGCGCCATTGTACTCCATCCTGGGCGACAGAGCAAGACTTCCTCTCAAAAAAAAAAAAAAATTGATAAATCTTACAATGTTTTATAGTGACAGATGCCCATTGTTATTTCCTAAGCGCCTGTCTTAAGTGAGGCCCTATCTTAGCTGAGATTATTTCAGAAAAGTGATCTCTCTCTGGGATGGTTGTAGGTATGTCCCAAAAGGGCTGTTTAGACCTTGGTGGGAGCTCTTTTGGAACTTTATGATCCAACTCTAGCTAGCCAGTGTCTGTTGCTTGAACCATTCAGTAGCTTTCTGGTTTATCTCTATGCTCTTTTCTGACCTTTCTACTCTTGAACTCGTTTTCCATGTAGCAGTCAGAACAGTCTTTTTAAAAATGAATACCTGATTTTAGCTTTCCTTTGTTAAAGCTCTCCAATGGTACACCTTTGTAACTAGACTAAAATCTACAACTACGGGCCCTTGCCTCTTTCTCACCTCCTTTTCTGCCACTTTTAACCTTTGTTTACTTTAACCCACTGACACTGGTTTTACTCTTGATTCTCAAACATGGAAAAACAGATAGATGTTTTCTTTCTCTTAACAGAATTGTGAAAAATTGGGTGAGCTGCTGTTATGTGAGGCTCAGTGCTGTGGGGCTTTCCACCTGGAGTGCCTTGGATTGACTGAGATGCCAAGAGGAAAATTTATCTGCAATGAATGTCGCACAGGTAAAGTAGATATCGAACGGTCTTCCTCCAAAGAAAGTTTGAATTTTAAGTTTTTCAGGAAAGACATTTATTGGAGACACTATTTTGTGGCAACACTGGGCTAGTTGTTACAGATATAGAAATGGTGCTGTGGGGTCACTGCTTTCAGAAAAGCTACCAAGTGAATAATAAATGGGTAGCATAATACAGTGCAAAAAGCATTGTGTTGGTGATACATTTAGAATGTAATGTAAGCAAAGATGAGCTGATGCCATAGAGGAAGATATCTGTGTTTAGCTTTAAGAGAGAAAGAGAAATTGATGTCGGGAGGGGAAGTGCAGAAGGTCTAGTAATGAAAGCGTGTAAAACATTTGGGGAATATGGAATACAGGCCAATGTGTTTATAGAGTTTAGGATATTTTAGGTAAAAGGCATAGGCAGTAACTAAGAGGGCTTCTTGGTTACTGGTAATATTTTATATTTCTTAATCTGCGTAGTGATTACATGAGCATGTTTACTTCATCAACTATACTCTTAGGATGCGTGTACTTTATGGTGTGTACATTATACATCGATAAAAATATTTACCAAAAAAGTAAAAAGATTATTTGCGGGTTATAATGCTTAGATTGGGTTAGAAAATAGGAATAGTCAGCTGAGACCAGCTGGTAAAGCACTTCATAAAGCTGCGCTAAAGTAAAGTGTTCTTTTTTTTTTTTTTTTTTTTTTTTTTTTTTAATAAGAGATGAGGTCTTGTTGTCCAGGTTTGAGTACAGTGGCGTGATCATAGCTCATTGTAGTCTTGAGCTCCTGGGCTCAAGCAATCCTCCCAACTCAGCTTCCCAAGTAGCTGGGACTGCAACCACTTGCCACCATGCGTGGGCAATTTTTTTTATTTTTTGTTGAGAAAGGGGGTCTTACTATGTTGCCCAGGCTGGAAAGTGTTCTCTCGCTCTCTCTCTCCCTTTTTTTTTTTTTTTTCTTAGCATGATGTGTAGATGTTACAGCATGTAAACAGTGAAGAAATCAGGGCTGAGGTATAGATCTTATGCCTGTAAGTCATTGAAGCTGCACATCTGGATGATACTTCCCAAAGAAAAAGTGTCATTAGGGTAGGATAATGGTCAGTGACACTACCTGGGCGTATATGCTCTTATAACGAGTTACTGGAAGGAGAGGAGGAGCTAGTCAATATCTCTGAAGCCACAGGAGTCAGGTGTTATCTGTAGGGGCAGATGCAGCAAAGATACTAAGGAGGTTCTGGAGTGAAGAGAGGCTTTTGTATGTGGCAGTGAGAAAATGCTTCAATTTTTGCCAGAGGATGTCTCATTACACTAGATTGAAGGGTGAGTGGATAGCCGTATACATAACTTCTTGAAGAAACTTGACTTCAGCAGAAAGGAAGACAGTACCTAAAGGGAGGATATTATAGGGTCAAGAGAAAAATCATTTTGAGTGTGTAAAACAGCTCTATTAAGGTAAAATTGAAGTGCAAACAATTGCACATATTTCAGGCCTATGAGTTGATAAATTTTGGTATGTGTATATGTATGCATCTGTGAAATCATCACTCAGCATTATTATTTTGAGATTCAGTCAGGTTGTTGTGTGTATTGATAGTTCATTTCTTTTTATTGCTGAGTAGTAGTTTGTTGTATGGATTTACTTGGTTGTTGATCCATTCATCTGTTGATAGACATTTGGGTTGTTTCCCGTTTTGGTTATTATAAATAAAGCTGCTGAGAACATTCAAGTTTTTGGACACTTTGTACCCTCCCTGCCCCTTCCCTCCCCCTCCCATTTTTCTTTTTTTTCCTTGAGACAGGGTCTCTCTCTGTCGCCTAGTCTGGAGTACAGTGATATGATTCTGGCTCACTTCAGCCTCAACCTCCCAGGCTCAAGCTATCCTTCTGGCTCAGCCTCCTTAGTAGCTGGGACTACAGGTGCTTGCCACATGCCTGGCTAATTTTTTAAAATATTTTTGTAGAGACAGGATTTTATTACATTATTACCAGGCTGGTTTTGAAGTCCTGGGATCAAGCAGTCCTCCTCGTTCAGCCTCTGAAAGTGTTGGGATTATAGGTGTAACACACAATTCCTGGCCACATTTTCTTTTTTCGGTTTTTGTTTTTGTTTTTGTTTTTCAGAGTCTTGCACTGTCACCCGGGCTCGAGTGCAATGGCGCAGTCTCGGCAACCTCCGCCTCCTGGGTTCAAGCAAGTCTCCTGCCTCAGCCTCCCAAGTAGCTGGGATTACAGGCATGTGCCACCACTCCTGGCTAATTTTTGGATTTTTAGTGGAGACGGGGTTTCTCCTGTTGGTCAGGCTGGTCTCGGACTCCTGACCTCAGGTGGTCCACTCTCCTTGGCCTCCCAAAGTGCTGGGATTACAGGCATGAGCCACTGCACCTGGCCAACTTTTTCATATTCTTAGTGATGTATTTGTAAGACTAATAGTTCTTAATTTTTTGAAATCCAGTTTATCAATTTGTTCTTTTTATGGACTGTGATTTGCTGTCATAGCTAAGAAGTTTTGCTTAACCCAGTGTCACAAAGTTTCGTTGTTGTTTTTTTTCTTTTTAATCTGCGACAGAGTCTCACTCTGTCACCCAGGCCGGAGTGCAGTGGCGTGATCTCAGCTAACTGCAACCTCCACCTCCTGGGTTCAAGCGATTCTTGTGCCTCAGTCTCCCGAGTAGCAAGGATACCAGGCGTGCACCACCATGCCCAGCTAATTTTTGCATTTTTAGTAGAGACGAGGTTTCACCATGTTGGCCAGGCTGTTCTCAAACTCCTGGCCTCAGATGATCCACCTGCTTTGGCCTCCCAAACTCCCAAAGGGCTGGGATTACAGGTGTGAGTCACCACGTCCAACCAGTGTCACAAAGATTTTTAGTTCTGTGTTTTCTTCATAGAATTTTTTAGTTTCACATTTCACTATTAGGTCTGTGATGTGTTTTGTATTAAAGTTTTGCATATGACATGAGGTATAGAGAAGATAGAATTTTTTTATTTTTGGTTTTTTAAATTTGTGGGTTTTTTTCTCTTTTTCCTAGGAAAGCTATTATCTTTGAGAGTAGGACATTTTACCAGTTTTGGTACAGTGTAAGAAATGGGAGTCACTTATTAGTGCTCTTGGCTCACCCTATTTTCCTGCAATAGGGTGGTCACATCATTGTTTAGATTGCTTAGGTTTAATAATAGCTACCACGCCTGTAATCCCAGCACTTTGGGAGGCTAAGGTGGGCGGATTTTTTAAGGTCAGAAGTTTGAGACCAGCCTGGCCAATGTGGTGAAACCTTGTCTCTACTGAAAATATAAAAATTAGCCAGGCATGGCGGTGGGTGCCTGTAATCCCACATACTTGGGAGGCTAAGTCACGAGAATTGCTTGATCCCAGGAGGTGGAGGTTGCAGTGAGCTGACAACATGCCACTGCACTCCATCCTGGGCGAGAGAGGGAGATTGAGTCTCAAAAAAAAAAAAAAGTTACCAGTTATTCAGCATCAGGTAGTGTTTTCCCTGTTTACAAATACATATTCAAATATTGTTCTTAAAATATTTATTTGCTGGATGTTCTCAGTGTTTATAGATAAAATGGATGATTTGAATGAGCCGTTTCCAGCAATTACCTGTAGGAGGATTCATGTTGAGGTCTGTTTACCTGTCAAGCTTAGGCTCTTTTTCTTATGTTGTACTGCATCTCACAGAGAGATAGAGGTCTGTGGTTTTTGTTTTGTTTTGTTTTTTTGTTTTTTTGTTTTGTTTTTCTGAGACAGTCTCCTTCTGTGGCCCAGGCTGGAGTTCGGTGGTGTGATCTCAGCTCACTGCAACCTCCACCTCCCAGGTTCAAGAGATTCTCGTGCCTCAGCCTCTGTATTAGTTGGGATTATAGGCGCCTGCCACCACACCCAGCTAATTGTTTTGTATTTCTAGTAGAGACGGTGTCTCACTATGTTCCCCAGGCTAGGCTTAAATTCCTGGCCTCCAGTGATCCAATTGCCTTAGCCTCCCAAGTGCTGAGTACATTGCTTCTGGGTGGTTTTTGACTTTTTATTACAAAAATCTTAAGACATACACCAGGGTAGAACAATGTAAAGAATCTCCATGTATTCAGTTAATTTCAGTAGTTATCAACTTCTCTCTCATTTTCTCCCTATATTTCAAAAGGTTTCTAACACAACATCTAATGTATAGCGAGAATATGTAATAACTTCTTTGTGTCATCTACCAGCCAGTTCATTTTCAAATTTTCTCATTTGTCTCAGGGATGTCTTTTTATTATGTTTTGAATCAAGATCTAGATCCAGAGAGAGGCCAAAAACGTCTCTGTAGGTTTTGTTAGGGAGATTACCAGCATTGTATGTCGGGTGATTTCCTGTAGTGTAAACTTTTTTATACATCTCTTAAGTTTCTACTTATCTTTAACAATACTGCCCCCACACTTTTTTTTTTTTTTTTTTTTTTTTTGAGGCAGGGTCTCACTCTTATCACCCAGGCTGGAGTGCACTGGTGTGATCTCAGCTCAGTAAACCTCCACCTTCCAGGCTCAAGCAATCCTCCTGCCTCAGCCTCTTGAGTAGCTGGGACCACAGGCATGCATCACCACGCCCAGCTAATTTTTGTATGTTTAGTAGAGATGGAGTTTTGCCACGTTGCCTGGGCTGGCCTCGACTTCCTGGACTCAAGCCAGCCACTCACCTCAGCCTCCTGAAGTGCTGGGATTGTAGGCGTGAGCCTCCTCTCCCAGCCCAACTTAAATTTCGTTGGTTGCCTCCTGGAGGTATCCCCTTAACTTGTTCCTCTGTCATCCATATTTCCTGTAAACTTGTAGTTAGTCCAGGGGCTTGATTAGGTTTAATTTCAGTTTTTTCTTTTTTTGGCGGGGGTGCCAGCGGCAAGCATTTTCTGTAGACAATATGTACTTTCTGTTGTATCACGTCAGGGAGTATCTATTACCAGATTGTTCATTTATAATAATACTAAGATTGTTACAGTGGGTTCAGACGATGTCAAACCGATCAGTCCATTATAAAATTTCTTATGAACTTTTCACCTAATGGTTTAGCATTTGGTAGATTCTTGAATTCTTACTAATTTATCTTCTTTTGGCTTCTCAGGAATCCATACCTGTTTTGTATGTAAGCAGAGTGGGGAAGATGTTAAAAGGTGCCTTCTACCCTTGTGTGGAAAGTTTTACCATGAAGAGTGTGTCCAGAAGTACCCACCCACTGTTATGCAGAACAAGGGCTTCCGGTGCTCCCTCCACATCTGTATAACCTGTCATGCTGCTAATCCAGCCAATGTTTCTGCATCTAAAGGTATGGATTTCTTATGTGGACCAGTCTAATTGTAAAACCTCAGTTTAATTGGCAACAGATATTTTCTTTTTTCTTTCTTTTTTTTTTTTTTTTTTTGGAGACAGAGTCTCGCTGTGTTGCCGAGGCTGGAGTGCAGTGGCGTGATCTTGGCCCACTGCAAGCTCCGCCTCCTGGGTTCACGCCATTCTCCTGCTTCAGCCTCCTGAGTAGCTGGGACTACAGGCGCCTGCCACCATGCCTGGCTAATTTTTTTGTATTTTTAGTAGAGACGGGGTTTCACCGTGTTAGCCAGGATGGTCTCGATCTCCTGACCTCGTGATCCACCTGCCTCGGCCTCCCAAAGTGCTGGGATTACAGGCGTGAGCCGCTGCGCCCGGCCGGCAACAGATATTTTCAAATGCAATCAATCCACCATGTCACTTTATGGCCTCTCTCTAGCTTTTATCAGAGAGATTACCAACATTGTATTTGGGAGAGAAGAGGGGCATAACGAACTAGTTCAGCAGCCAGGCAATGCCAGGGCTCCATAGAACACAATGTGGTCGTGTGGTAGGGTATTAAATATTTGGATTTCATGTGAGATGTAGTTTGAGAAAGTGTTCTGCTGCATGTCCTCTTCCCCCTATTGATTAGAAAACCAGAGTGTAGTCTTCCCCTGGGCTTTTTTTTTATTTTATTTTATTTTATTTTATTTTTTTTTGAGACGGAGTCTTGCTCTGTCACCCAGTCTCCTCGATCTCCTGACCTCGTGAGCCACTCACCTCAGCCTCCCAAAGTGCTGGCATTACAGGCGTGAGCCACCACGCGTGGCCCCCCTGGGCCTTTTTTTTTTTTTTTTTTTTTTTTGAGATGGAGTTTCGCTTTTGTTGCCTGGGCTAGAGTGCAATGGTGCAATCTCAGCTCACCGCAACCTCTGCCTCCCGGGTTCAAGCGATTCTCCTGTCTCAGCCTCCCGAGTAGCTGGGATTACAGGCATGAGCCACCATGCCTCGCTAATTTTGTATTTTTAGTAGAGACAGAGTTTCTCCATGTTGGTCAGGCTGGTCTTGAACTCCCGACCTCAGGTGATCTGCCTGCCTCGGCCTCCCAAAGTGCTGGGATTACAGGTGTGAGCCACTGCGCCCGGCCGGCCATTTTTATATCTCTGGTTTCAGTGTGATATCATTCAGAAATGCATGCCAAGGCAGGATTGGGGGTTTCGTGTTGATTTGTTTTTTGTTTGTTTGTTTTTTTAATGAAAACTCTTGTCCTAGAAATTTTCTTCTGCTTCATAGTTAAGCTGAGACCTGAGTTTTCCAAAACTGTCTGTGCATATAGGTAAACTTAAGTTTTGAAATGTGTTCTCTTTGGTAAAACAAGTTGTTTTTGTTGTTGTTGTTGTTTGTTGTTGTTTTTTTTTTTGAGATGGAGTTTCACTTTTGTTGCCCAGGCTGGAGTGCAATGGCTCGATCTTGGCTCACTGCAACCTCCACCACCTGGGTTCAAATGATTCTACTGTCTCAGCCTCCTGACTAGCTGGGATTACAGGCACATGCCACCATGCCCAGCTAATTTTTGTATTTTTAGTAGAGACAGGGTTTCATCATATCGGTCAGGCTGGTCTCGAACTCCTGACGTCAGGTGATCTGCCTGCCTCAGCCTCCCAAAGTGCTGGGATTATAGGCATGAGCCACTGCACCCAGCATGTGTTTTTTTGTTTGTTTTGTTTTGTTTTAAAACAGGAGGTCTCGCTCTGTTGCCCAGTGTGATCTCAACTCACTGCAATGTCCACCTCCCAGGTTCAAGAGATTCTCTTGCCTCAGCCCCTGGAGTAGCTTGGATTACAGGTGCTTGCCACCACTCCCGACTACTTTTTATATTTTTAGTATAGACGGGGTTTCGCCATGTTGGCCAGACTGTTCTGGAACCCCTGACCTCAGGTGATCTGCCTGCCTTGGCCTCCCAAAGTCCTGGGATTACAGGCTTGAGCCACCGCGCCTGGAAAAACCCAATACTGTATCTCTGCTGGTGAATTCATGTGTGCCAAAAGAACCTTGACTTTTTCCATAGAGGATTGAGGAGGTAAAATTTAGCAGTGTTGATGTTTGTTTTAATCAGACTGTCAGTACCTTTTTTAGGATTATTTCCTGGCCTCATGGGTCTCATAAGTAATTTCACTTGTTGGATCAAAATTGCAGTTTCGATGAGTGTGATGGTGTACACCTGTATTTCCAGCTTCTTGGGAAGGTAAAGCAGGAAGTGGGAAGACTGTTTGAGCACACAGACTTTGAGGTCACGTCCAGCCTTGGCAACACAGGGAAACCCCATGTCTTTATTAATACAAAGAAAAATGAAAAGAGTTGCAGTTGGCTACCTTCTCGTTTTTAATTGTTATTACAGATTGCATTAGAGGGTTTGGTGGTGGTTTCGTGATGGTTTATAATAGATGAAGTATTTGAGGGGATGTGTTTCCTCTGGAGAGGGTAGAGAGGTTCGTTCACTTGAAAGGCTTTAAAAGAATCACAGAGTTCCAGGCAAGCATTATTGTTGTCTCCCCTCTCCCTATTTATTCTGGGGCTGATTTCCTAGTTGTCAGGACAGTGGTTTGAGTTGGGCTTTCCCTTGTTGAAGCAGGCTCACTGACAGTTACGGGATTTGATTCCTTTTGGAGACTTATCACATAGCTCCCATCTGAGTTTTCTTGATGGATCGAGTGTTTAAGATCCATCATCTTAGTGGTCATTCCTTCTATTTGTGACATTTTTTCAGTGCTAACAAATAGACTTGAATAACTCACATTCTTTTTATATTTAATATTTTTGTTTTTCTTTTGCTTGTCCCTGATTTTCCTGCTTTAGGTCGGTTGATGCGCTGTGTCCGCTGTCCTGTGGCATACCACGCCAATGACTTTTGCCTGGCTGCTGGGTCAAAGATCCTTGCATCTAATAGTATCATCTGCCCTAATCACTTTACCCCTAGGCGGGGCTGCCGAAATCATGAGCATGTTAATGTTAGCTGGTGCTTTGTGTGCTCAGAAGGTAAGAAATCATTTCTTCCTCTATTTGTAGTCTAAAAAGGGATTAAATCAATGTTTTAATTGGAACAAAAATACTTTTCATCATATTGCCACTGGAAAAAATATTAGAAATGATACTATTCATCTGCCATTCAGGAAATGATGTCCCGAATTAATGATTACATAGCAGAACTTTTTTTTTTTTTTTTTTTTTTTTTGAGACAACGTTTCACTCTGTTGCCCAGGCTGGAGTGCTATGGCACAATCTCAGCTAACTGCAGCCTCCACCTCCCAGGTTCAAGCAGTTCTCCTGCCTCAGCCTCCCAAGTAGCTGGGATTACAGGTGCCCGCCACCATGCCCGACTAATTGTTTGTATTTTTAGTAGAGACAGGGTTTTACCATGTTGGCCAGGCTGGTCTCAAACTCCTGCCCTCTAGTGATTTGCCCGCCTCGGCCTCCCAAAGTGCTGGGATTACAGGGGTGAGCCACTGTGCCTGTCCAGCAGAACTTTTTAAAACTTGGCTTTGTTGCCCAATAGGGAGAGGTTTTATTTTTCTTATTTTGAATAATGACTTGAATTTTGTTAAAATGATAAACAATTGAAGCAGTAAAGACAAAAATTCACTTAATCTCACCATCAGAAAAAAAAAATCATTGCTTAATATTAAGTGGCATTATTCCAGACATTCATGCATGTCAGCAGATAGAAAGTCTGATACCTAGATAGAAACAATTCTTGAAAATAGCATTACCATGTAATTGTGTTTTGTTAACAAGCAATTTTATACAAATTAATAGAAAAAGAGTGAACGTGATGGAAAAAGCGAAGGGATTTGTGAACTTTAGTTATATATTTTCTCATTGTAAGAATATTAGTTCTTAAGAGATCACGTAGAGGAAAGATAAATTTTCTATATATTTTATTCTTAGCACTTTCACCCAGGCTGGAGTGAAGTGGTACAATCTCGGCTCACTGCAACCTCTGCTGCCACGCCACTCCCCATCCCTCCCCCACCGGTTCAAGCGATTCTACTGCCTCAGCCTCCTGAGTAGCTGGGATTACAGGCGTTCAACATCATGCCCCACTAATTTTTTTTTTTTTTTTTTTTTTTTGTAGAGATGGGGTTTCACCATGTTGGCCAGGCTGGTCTCTTAACTTCTGACCTCAGTTGATCTACTCTCCTCAGCTTCCCAAAGTGCTAGGATTACAGACGTGAGCCAGTGTGCCCGGCCATTTTATTCATTTTTAAAATACTTGTTTTTTAGAGCAGAGTTAGTATAACCTTTTACGTATTTTCTTTTCTATCCTTATCATCCCTGACAACTTGATTTTTGCTAGTTAAATGGAAGATTTTAGCACTCATCACCAGTATGTTAATTGTAGTACCTAAAGTTCTGAATTCGTTATTTCAGTTTTTCTCTTGGTTGTCTGAACTTTTGTGATCCCACAGGTGCTCATTTCTCTGCTTTGAGGCATCATTTGCCTTTGTACTAGAAGGATATCTAGTACAAAGGTAAATGATACTTTTCTAAGTTCATGGTAATGGTATTGGTATTTTGTAATGGTATTTTTCTAAGTTCATTGTGGACTTTGCTCCACTATTTTCTAGTGATGAGAGTGGCACCAGTTCTTCAGTTTTCTCATTTATTTTCAGATTTTATTTTGTTGATTTAGTAGTTACTTGGCAATAATTTTTTTATTATCTACTTATTGATTATGCAGTTTCCTGAAAACCTGGCTGGCTCTGAACATTCTGAGGGACTAATTTTAAAAAGAGTCAATATATGTAATAGAATGAGCATTGTACTTTGAATCTCAAAGTCCAAGTTTGAATTCTGGCTTGTCTCTTCAGGCAAATTGCTTTACCAAGGCTTGGTTTGCTTGTTTATAAAATATAGGCTCTATTCCCTATCACACAGTCATATTATAATAGCATCAATTAAATGAAAAGATATGATTAAAGCCCTTGCACAGTGAGAAAATAAGTTTAAATGGTCTCTGGTCTCATTTTTAATCCTCTGTAGGGCTGACTTTTTCTGCAGCCTGCCTCATTTTGTTTGATTTTCTTCTAAAAATTATCTTTGTTATTACCCACTTTCCCTGCAAGATGACTTCCTTCAAGAAAACAATACCTTCTTTTTCTTTCCTCTTTCTTAAGATATCACTAAAGAAGCCGAACACGGTGGTGCATGCCTGTAGTCCCAGCTATTCAGGTGGCCAAGGTGGGGAGGATTGCTTGAGCCCAGGAATTCAAGACCAGCCTGGGCAATATAGCGAGACTGACCTCATAAACAAAACAAAACAAAAAACAACCAAAAAAATAGATACCACTGTGAAAGGAAAATAAATCCCAGGAGGCCCAAATCACTAAGCCAAGGGAAAAGTCAAGCTTGGAACTACATCAGGCAAACCTGCCTCCCATTTTATTCCTCAATAATACAGCTACAAGGCTGGGCGCCATGGCTCATGCCTCTAATCCCAGCACTTTGGGAGGCTGAGGCAGGCGGATCACCTGAGGTCAGGAGTTCGAGACCAGCCTGGCCAACATGGCGAAACCCCATCTCTGCTAAAAATACAAAACTTAGCCAGGCGTGATGGCAGACACCTGTAATCCCAGCTACTTGGGAAGCTGAGGCAGGAGAATTGCTCTGTTCTGTTGAATTTCACCCTGGCAATGGAAACCGATAGCTTATCTTCACAGGTGTGGGACAGAAAGTCATCCCTATGCTCATCTGAGACAAATGCGTACCTCATTGCTTCCTCTGCCCTATTTATGTAAAAATGCAGTTTCACTGAGCCAGATTAAATTGTGTATTCAGTGAAAGGCTGATGAAGGATTCAAAAGAATGCAACCTTTTGTCTTTTACCTACTTATGACCTGGAACCCCAACCCCCTATCAGAACCAATGACAATGTTACACATACTGATGTCTCTTATCTCCCTAAAATATATAAAAGCAAGCTGTACCCCCACCACCTTAGGCACATGTTGCCAGGATCTCCTGAGGTTGTGTCATGGACGTGATCGTCACCTTGGCAAAATAAACTTTCTAAATTGGTTGAGACTTGTCTGACATATTTTGAATTCACATCACTAAGGAGATTTGTATTATCAGGTGTATGTATATGCCAATAATTCTGTAAAAGAAGAATTTTCCTTACTTGAGATATATTGTTTCTGTAGCCAAAGACTGGAGTTTAGTTAATTCTGGAAGCTTTTTTTACTTAGTTGAAATCTGACAGCTAGTACACAGTCAATGGATTGGTAAAACTGCTGCCACCTTAGTATAAACCAAGGCACTACCTCCAAACCAATACAAGTAAGCAGTCATCGTGTTCTGTATCATCACCTACTCGCAGTAAAAGCATGGCAGTTTCACCTTAGAAGTTTCTTGAAGTAAAACACCTTAGTTTTATTATATCTTGTCCATGAAGTCAACATTGTTTTTCTATTCTCTGTGATGAAGTGGGAAGTACACGTAAAGCAGTTTCTTTGCATACTGATGGTTATCTTGAGTTAAAGCACTCATGCAACTGAGTTTCAAGCTGAACTATCCACATTGTTCATGGAACACCGTTTTTAATTGTAAGAGTTACTGATAAACTATGGTTATTCATGCTTGGATATTTGGCAGACATTTACTTGAAAATGAACAACTGTGAGCCTATCAATTCAAGAAAAAGAACTGCAAAATAATGGCGAATGATAAAATTTGAGCTTTTAAGTGAAAATTAAAATTTTCGTAAACTATTGTCTGCTACCTTCAGTTTGACAATTTCTTAGTACTTACTGATTGGATCATGGTAGTATTAATAAATGTGATTTTAAAAGTATAATGAAATAGGCCATTTAGAAGATGCATATGACTCAATGAACCAATTTTTTTTTTTTTTTTTTTTTTTTTTGAGATGGAGTCTGGCTGTGTCGTCAGGCTGGAGTGCAGTGGCGCTATCTTGGCTCACTGCAACCCCCACCTCCCGGGTTCAAGCGATCCTCCTGCCTTAGCCTCCTGAGTAGCTGGGACTACAGGCATGTGCCACTATGCCCAGCTAATTTTTTGTATTTTTAGTAGAGATGAGGCAATATTTTTAATATAGCTAATGCATGATGTTAAAAACTTTGCATATGTAAAAGATGCATTCAAAATAGAAGACAGATCAATGAATTTTAGTGTAGTCATTTTAAGTTTAGTGACATAGTTTCAGTTTCCACATTGCAACTATACACTGTGGAGTTTTAGCATAGTATCTAAGAATGAATATCCACAGTTCTGAACAGGTTATTTTAGCACTCTTTTCCAGCAATATATCTCTGAGAGGCCATACTTTCTTCACGTATGTCAAACAAATAACATATTGCAACATAATTGTTCTTCAGACTTGTTTTTTAGCAGCAGACACATTTCCAAATGTAATCTTACTCTGAATCTGAGCTTCACTATACAATACAGACAAAAGTGAGCTTTTCCAGTTGAAGTAGGAGTCTGATCTGAAACACACCCCTGGCCCCAACAAAAACAAATAAAACTCCCACTCTTATTTTAAGAGCTTGTTGAAGAGAATTATTAAGTAAAGGCCCTTTTGGCCGAAACTGCCATCTTCCTGTAATTCGCCAAAATGACAAACACAAAGGGAAAGAGGAGAGGCACCCAGTACATGTTCTGTAGGCCTTTTAGAAAACATGGAGTTGTTCCTTTGGCCGCATATATGCGAATCTATAAGAAAGGTGATATTGTAGACATCAAAGGAATGGGTACTCTTCAAAAAGGAATGCCCCACAAGTGTTATCATGGCAAAACTGGAAGAGTCTACAGTGTTACCCAGCATGCTGTTGGCATTGTTGTAAACAAACAAGGGCAAGATTCTTGCCAAGAGATTTCATGTGCATATTGAGCACATTAAGCACTCCTAAGAGCCAAGATAGCTTCCTGAAACATGTGAAGGAAAATGATCAGAAAAAGAAGCCAAAGAGAAAGTTAACCTGGGTTCAACTGAAGCACTAGCTTGCTCCACTCAGAGAAGCATACTTTGTGAGAACCAATGGGAAGGAGTCTGAGCTGCTGGAACCTATTCCCTATGAATTCATGGCATCATAGGTGTTAAAAAAAATAAAAGACCTCTGGACTGTTAAAAAAAAAAAGCAAAAGTCAGCATGGGAATAAATTATATATAAAGTGCCAACAGAAGTATGTTTATAGTAAGAATTTTTTTTGTTTCCCAGCTGAAGATTTATTGGCATAAATGCAGCCATCTAAAAACATAAGTTATGAAAAACAGTCATGATGTGCCCTCCCCATCCCCCCAGCCCAGGCCCCTAAAACCTCCTCTGGGGGAGGGAGGGAGAGAGAGAGGAAGGGGGAGCCCCACAACCGTCTAGGAATGCTCAGCCCCTGGGCCCGTGCAGGGCGGGAGAGCCGGGCCTCAGCACATCCTGTAGTCTGTGGAGCAGGACAGGTCGCACAGATGGCCCCTGAAATCTAGGTTGATGGTGAAGTCCCGGTCCCAGTTCTTGGCGTTGGGCCGCATGCCGATGGTGCCGAAGATCTCCTCGCCCGTCTTCAAGGTCAGGTAGTCCTCCATGTAGAACACCGTCTGCTTCCAGTGCGTGTACAGGGACTCGGGTATGGTGGAG